>NC_000003.12:83040303-83343333 GCF_000001405.40 Homo sapiens | reverse complement strand
TAAGCTGTATAGACACAGCTTTAATTTTTTTAATGTTTGTTCACTGAATTGGCTTATCACTTTTTGCCCTATTTAAACAATAAGAAAAACATTACAAAGTCTTTCCTTATTTTAAATTTTTTTCATAATTTTAATCACTGTATCAACTTGCTTTCAAATTTTAACATAGTGATTATTTCATATAAAATATGATTATATATACAACATATAAACACTCCTACATATTTAAACAATGTGTTTGTGTATATATCCATCTTTGTCTCTGCATACGCATACATATAGGTATATGAAACATGTATAATTTTACTGGAAATAGTGACTTGAGTTGTCTCACCTAGGATAGTAATGAAATGTTTTTTGCAGTCTCTTATGAACCTTCTAAGCAACCTGAAACTAAAGACACTCTTTATTAGCTAATTAGAGCATTTCTTCTTCTTTTTTTGAAGTAAAAGTTATTTTTAATAGGCAATTGCGTGTCGTTAGAATTAAAAAAACAAATTCTCAAAAGAACTAACACATGTTTCTATGCACCTTCATTTAGAACTATGAAGAGTTTTCAGTCAAGAAATGGTTTCAATTCAATTTAACAAAAATAAAAATGTGAATACATAAGTATAACACTAAACTCATTTTACAGCACATTTTTACAGGTAATTACTTTTATGAAATATTTTCAGATTACCTTATTTTGCAAATTGCTTGGAACATGCTAAATTTAGAAGACATGTATACCTGAAAGTTACGGTAAAACATTTAGTTAATACAGCTAATTAACTGTATTAACATTTAGTAAATACAGCCAATACAGCTAAGTATACTTGATCCTAAGTTTCCCTAGATAAAAAGAGATATCTTGGGTGACTATATTCTCCATTTGCCTCACTTGCTATTTTCGTCATTCTGTACCTACCCTGGACTCCCAGAGAATCTGGGAACTTTAACTGCTTTGCTCTTCATGCCTGACAGGTTTGCCTTAAAGCACAGCCCTAATTCTACTCCTAGATGTAGCTCTTCGGCATCTGCATTAGCATTAATTGTTTTCTCCTTTTCTAGAATTCGCTCTCAAATAAACTGCAGTTGGCTTAAGGGAAATAGATATCACAGCAAGTGTCCAGTACGGATCTATAATGAGGGTTAATATGTCTTGAGGCCAAACATTTCAAACATGACAAGGTGAAAATATGTGTATGTACCTCAAACTACTTAGGAAGATGAAGATATACATTGAAAACTATTTGGATAAGGGGTAAGGAAGGGATCCAGTTTCAGCTTTCTACATATGGCTAGCCAGTTTTCCCAGCACCATTTATTAAATAGGGAATCCTTTCCCCATTTCTTGTCTTTGTCAGGTGTGTCAAAGATCAGATGGTTGTAGATGTGTGGTATTATTTCTGAGGGCTCTATTATGTTCCATTGGTCTATATCTCTGCTTTGGTACCAGTACCATGCTGTTTTGGTTACTGTAGCCTTGTAGTATACTTTGAAGTCAGGTAGCGTGATGCCTCCAGCTTTGTTCTTCTGGCTTAGGATAGTCTTGGCAATGCAGGCTCTTTTTTGGTTTCATATGAACTTTAAAGTATTTTTTTCCAATTCTGCGAAGAAAGTCATTGGTAGCTTGATGGGGATGGCATTGAATCTATAAATAACCTTGGGAAGTATGGCCATTTTCACGATTTTGATTCTTCCTATCCATGAGCATGGAATGTTCTTCCATTTGTTTGTGTCCTCTTTTATCTCGTTGAGCAGTGGTTTGTAGTTCTCCTTGAAGACGTCCTTCACATCTCTTGTAAGTTGGATTCCTAGGTATTTTATTCTCTTTGAAGCAATTGTGAATGGGAGTTCACTTGTGATTTGGCTCTCTGTTTTTCTGTTATTGGTGTATAAGAATGCTTGTGATTTTTGCACACTGATTTTGTATCCTGAGACTTTGCTGAAGTTGCTTATCAGCTTAAGGAGATTTTGGGCTGAGATGAAAAATTAATTCAAGATGGATTAAAGACTTAAATGTTAGACCTAAAACCATAAAAACCCTAGAAGAAAACCTAGGCAATACCATTCAGGACATAGGCATGGGCAAGGACTTCATGTCTAAAACACCAACAGCAATGGCAACAAAAGACAAAATTGACAAATAGGATCTAATTAAACTCAAGAGCTTCTGCACAGCAAAAGAAACTACCATCAGGGTGAAAAGGCAACCTACAGAATTGGAGAAAATTTTTGCAATCTACTCATCTGACAAAGTGCTAATACCTAGAATCTACGAAGAACTCAAACAAACTTACAAAAACAAAAAACAAACAACCCCATCAAAAAGTGGGCTAAGGATGTGAACAGACACTTCTCAAAAGAAGACATTTATGCAGCCAAAAGACACATGAAAAAATGCTCATCATCACTGGCCATCAGAGAAATGCAAATCAAAACCACAATGAGATACCATCTCACACCAGTTAGAATGGCGATCATTAAAAAGTCAGGAAACAACAGGTGCTGGAGAGGATGTGGAGAAACAGGAACACTTTTACACTGCTGGTGGGACTGTAAACTAGTTCAACCATTGTGGAAGACAGTGTGGTGATTCTTCAAGGATCTAGAACTAGAAATACTATTTGACCCAGCCATTCCATTACTGGGTATATACCCGAAGGATTATAAATCATGCTGCTATAAAGAGACATGCACACGTATGTTTATAGCAGCACTCTTCACAATAGCAAAGACTTGGAACCAACCCAAATGTCCATCAATGATAGACTGGATTAAGAAAATGTGGCACATATACACCATGGAATACTATGCAGCCATAAAAAAGGAATGAGTTCATGTCCTTTGTAGGGACATGGATGAAGCTAGAAACCATCATTCTCAGCAAACTATCGCAAGGACAAAAAACCAAACATCGCATGTTCTCACTCATAGGTGGGAAATGAACAATGAGAACACTTGGACACAGGAAGGGGACCATCACACACTGGGGCCTGTTGTGGGTTGGGAGAGGGGAGAGGGATAGCATTAGGAGATATACTTACGGTAAATGACGAGTTAATGGGTGCAGCACACCAACATGGTACATGTATACATATGTAACAAACCTGCACGTTGTGCACATGTACCCTAGAACTTAAAGTATAATAAAAATAAAAAAGAGGCCCATTGCTACATAGGCAGGTAGAATGTAGACAGACAGATAGACAGACAGACAGACAGAGAAAGCAAATGTGGCAAAATGCTGACAATTAGTGTATCCAAGCCATCCTGTCCTGACTGTTGCCATGGTTGGGACAAAAATGCAAATGAAGACTATTCAGCCATGTGCCTAAATACTTAAAGTTTTATAAGGCAAGTTAACAAAACAAAAAAAGATGTACTGTTACTTTGACCACATATCTTCATAATAACCTAGAAGCCAAGATCACATTTAAAATTTGCAAACTCCTACAAGTTTATGCTAGCACACAGCAATGCAAGGAGAGCCAGCCTCCAGTCATCTGGCCAGGAGCTGGGTTTCCCTTCTCCTCCTAGCCCTCGGTCCATCCTGCACATGCGTGTGGACACCCCAGTTCATGTGTTCAAACACCACCCATACTACAGTTCCCCACTCCCACTCCCACTCCCACAGTTGGTCCTTGGCCACCTTTTGGTCTAGGAGTGTGCATAGTGAATATGGTCTAACCTCAGGTAAACAGACTCCAAAAAAAATGAAAATTAACAGGGATTCTGTATCCTAAGATATCTGAATCATGAAATAAAAATAACCAGGAGAGGTGGGAGATGAGCCCCAGATGGACATGTCTGTCAGCCAGAATATTCCCCAGCCCTTGGGGATGGGCAAGGCTGAGGACAAGCAAAGGAGACCTCTAGAGTGTGGGGCAGTACTGGATTTAGGTGAAGTGATATGGTTTTTTCTTCGAGCATATTCTTTCAAAGTTTTTCCAGGTTTATTGAGGAATAATTGACAAATAAAATTGTACATATTTAAGCAAAAAAAGAAAACTACTTGAAATGGCAGTATTAATATAAGTACAATGTCTACATGGTACACACATTCCTTTTTACTCTTTCCATCAAATTATAGTAGTGATAGATGTTTTCTAAACTACCTTATGAAGAGAAAAGGACCTGGTTAGTCATAAGTTTATGATTATCTGACTGGGTGCAGTGGCTCACACTTGTAATCTTATCACTTTGTGAAGGTGAGACTGGCAGATCTCTTGAGGCCCGAGTTCCAGACCAGCCTGGCCAACATGGCAAAACCCCGTCTCTACTAAAAATACAAAAAAAAACCCGGGTGTGATGGCACACGCCTGTAATCCTAGCTACTCAGGAGGCAGAGGCAGGAGAATCTCTCAAACCTGGGATGTGGAGGTTACAGTGAACAGAGATTATGCCACTGCTCTTCAGCCTGGGCAACAGAGCAAGACTCTGTCTCCAAAAAAAAAAGAAAAAACAAAAGATTATGATTATCTGAGTATGATTATCAATTTGGAATTAGACTTTCCTTTGGGCTTCCCCTCTATAGCACTGTTTTGTTCTGTTAAAAAAATAAACAAATATATAATGGCTATATTTATGAAGGTGAATGAAATTAAATAAATATTCTTGCCTGACGCACTTCCAAGGGTCCCCAGAGAAAAGGGTGCTGACATTCATAATCCTTTCCAGACCCAGGAAAAGACTGAGTCCGAATATTTTCTAATGTTTGGACTCTTAGTTTTCCTACTTCACAGGATCTACTAAAGAAGTTAAAATGATTTGAAATCCATATGTGACTGTAATACGATAAAACTTAACTGTTTTCTAATGGCTGACTTAATTATCCTACATAGAGTACACATATGGCAAATGGTTCCACGATTATGAAGATGAAAGACAGTACAAAGAAAAACATATTTTATAGTTCTATATATTAAGTGAATTTTCCTGAAAGAAGGAATATTTTCTCACTAGGAAGTCAAAATTTACCTTGATTATGAATAATCTAGAATTAAAGATTTCTCTTTTTGTTAATATGACTGCTAGTTGAGTTCTATTTTACTCTTAATTTATGGATTTTGTTAATTTCACTTTTTTAAAACATAGTCTTTAATGTTAACGTTTTGATAATTTTAAAGAACTTCTTCAGAAAAACTGTGTTCATGGTATTTATTATTTTTATTGTAGATTAATAATAATTTATTGGTGCAGTTTTGAAAATAGACATTATAAAGAAATTTTAAGAATTAAATGCTATGACTCATTCAATAATAGGATTTAAGTAACTTTTTCCTTTATAAAACACCAAATATTAAATGTCTTTTTAAATTTTATTTTGCATTTTATTCTTTTTAAATGAAATAGCATAATCACCTAGCTAAGTGGCTGGCTTAAATTGTTTTAACAAATATTAGTTATTATTTAATTATCATTATTAACCATGAGTAAATATTTTTTATAAAATTTGAAATGTTTCAAACCCACTTTTTTCATTTTGAGACAAGATCTCACTTTGTCACCCAGACTAGGGTGCAGTGGCAGAATCATTGCTCACCATAACCTTGAACTCCTGGGTTAAAGTGATATTCTCGCCTTGGCTTCCCAAGCTGCTGTGACTACAGGTGCCCACCACCATGCCCAGCTAACTTTTGTATTTTTGTCAAGATGGAATTTTGTTATGTTGCCAACTCTGGTCTCAAACTCCTGGCCTCAAGCGATCCCCCTGCCTCAGCATCCCCAAGTGTTGGGATTACAGGCATGAGCCACCATGTTATACCTCAAATAGACTTTTATATGAATATTTTACTTACTATGATTTGAAAAGTTCTACTAATCTTATTCAACAATATAACTTTATTTAATACAGAACATTCCGTTGTATAGGGATAGACATATATTACATTGTCTTTATACTGCATGTATACTTTAAAAAATACATTAAAATTGATATATTGGTATCAGAGTTTTATTTTCTATGACAAATAAATAAATGCATGAATAGATGTAAAAGGTAGTTTGGCAGTACCTTCTTTGCAATTCTCTCTTATTTGTGTCATAAATGTTTCTGCAAACTGTTGGTGCAAAAGTAATTGCGTTTTTTGCCATTGACAGTAATATTATTTACTATCAAGAATTCAGATATTTCTCTTAGTTCATATGAATTTCTATGCTTACTGTGTTAGAACTCTATGCCTCAATTATATAAGCATTAGTGCAAATTATGTCCTTCAACTAAGAGAATAAACAGGTTTTTACATATTTAAACATGAATAAAAACTTCATGATGGATATTATCAGAGTGTGAATACACAAAAGAGATTTCCAAGCATTATACATGATGTTTCCAATTTATCTTGTCTTTTTATATATTTTGATAACATAAGTAGAGTGAGTCTGAAATAATCGAGTCAAACATAATCTTGAGGTAGTGATGGTAATGAAAGAGAACACTGAAGTCACATTTACCAGCCAGCATTCACGGTGTTACATATTTTCTTGGAATACCTTTTTATGGATTTTTTCTATCTTTTTGGATTTACAATTTGCTTGATAGAGATGCCAGAAACTCAAAACTGTGAAGTTAAAAAAAAATTAGATACTTGCAGCATCTTTAAGAATTTTAGATTTAAAATAGTTGCAAATGACATACTAAGTAAACAAAAATCAGATAAACACCATCAATGCTTTTTATTTATTTCATATTTTTCCTTTAATTTTCCAACTTAATCAATAGGTTTTAGCCTATTATTATTCCACTACTCTGTTGGGTGATACTTTATTTATCTTTAAGAATTAATTGCATAATAGTTTTGTAAAATGTAAGGTATTTTAAACTTTTTATTTTAGATACAATACCATGAAGGTAATATACTAAATTCTCTCTAAAAATCTGTTGATCATTTTTGCCTTATGTGGTAATTCATTCACTCCTTTATTTGTACATTTAAGAAATACTAATAAATAACATATCCCTTGCCCATCACACCTAGTCAGTTTGTTGCAAAAATGACCTTCTGCCATTTTCCTTAAAGCTGGGAGAAATACATAATTAAACACACACTAGCACAATGGCATCATTGTTGATGTGAGAGATCTAAGGTATGCTCCAAGAAAAGAATAGATATGTGTGAGAGGGATATCAAAACTGGAATGTGAATGAGTTGTAGATAAGAAAGGCTTCCAAAAACTGACATTTCAGATTAAAGATGGTAGGATCACTAGGAGTTATTTAGAGGTGGATATTATAGCATCTGGTAATTTGATTGGCTTCCCGGCATATAGAAGGATGAAACTTTCTTGTCTTTTGGCCAGTGAATTTTGAGTGAAAGAACTATATTTTTTACTTTTTAAAAAATTTTTCTGATACAGGTATAAAAAAACGCTAGGACTCAACTCTCCATAATTTTCTCCCTCTTTTGATGTAAAGGCTACATCATCACAGGCAGGTTGGCTGCACTGGGAAGTTTTCTGAGTCAGCAGCATAATTTGTGCAAATAAAATTTAAACCTTTGGTGTTTTAAGCCATTCTAATTTGGGGCTTTTTGTTCTTAGAGTATAACCTAGCATGTCCTGAATTATATACTAGGCAAATATAAAGTGAGGGATAGTATGCAGAGGAGACTGGTATAAAATAAAACTTTGTTTTTAAATGTTAGGGAGGAGAAAACAAACAGCACTTGGCTGGAAAAGGGAGTTCAATATAGCTTAAGTAGAAAATACAAAGGTGGGGTTAAGAAACCAGGCTGGAGTATTTTGCATTCCTATATTAAGCAATGGTATGTTTAGATTTTATCACCAAGACAAATGGCAGCTAATGTAGAGTTAGAAGCAGAAATGTGAATGAATTCATTCACATATTAGAACATCACTTGGCTGTAACATGAAGAATGTACTGGAATAACCAATTAAATATATGATAAAATCAGTAAGGAGTTTGTTTTTGAGTTGATGGAAAAGAAGTGTTTTTTCTCCACTTTCAGTATTTAAATAATGTTGAACCATTATCTCTAGCCTTCATTGCTTCGATGAATAATCAACTACTCTTTTATACTTGTATATTTAATTTTAATATACCACGTTGAAGCCAGTTTGGCCTTTTCTTTTCGTCTTTGTTTTTTATGGATTTTACTGTGATGTAATTAGGTATGGTTTTCTCTGCATTCTTCTAAGAGATCACTAAGCTTCCTGAATCTGTATAATAGTTTGTTTTTTTTCCTTCAAATTTTGGAAAACTTTAGGTAGTATATCTTCAAATCTTTTTTCTGCCCTAGTCCCATTTTATTCTCCTTTTAGGATTTCGGTTACAGGTGTGTTAAACTTTGGGCCTTATATCATAGATTTCTTGATTCTCTGTTAATTTTCTTCAATTTTGTTTATGTTCGGATTGGATCTTTCACTCTGATAACTTTTGAAGTTCTCCGAGTCTGTACTCTGTCAATACTTACCCAGTGAATTGTTCATTTTAGTTATGATACGCTTCAATTAAAGAATTTCTCTTTGGTTGTTTATTTATAGTGTCTGTTTCTTTGCTGAACTCCTTTTTCTGTTTATTCATTAAGATCATATTTTTAAAGTTTGTGAACATATTTATCAATAGCTGATTTTAAATCATTGTCTGCTAGGTTCAAAATCCATGTCTTTTCAGAACTTTTTTTATACTGCTTTAGTTTTGGTGTCTGAATCACATTTTCAGCTTTCTTTGTAGGTTTAATAATTTTTATTCTATGCTTTATGTTACCGATTACCTATTGTAGAAACTGCAGTGTGCTAATTTCCTGTGACATATGTTGATTTTAGTTCTAGTAGGTAGTTGAATTACTGGCTAATGACGTTGATGTTTTGTGTGCTTAAATTGAGAGTTTGTTAGGGAAGTTGTACAGAAAGTCCAAAGTGTTTTCAAAGCCCTTCTAATTTGACATGATTCAAACTGCAATCTCTGTCTTCTGTGAACACCTTGTGAAGCTTTGGCTTTAGGCCCTTTTAGAGCAGGTGTAGATGCATTTTTACTTGTGGTTATTTGATTCTTACATATAAACCAGGTCTTAGTCAGATGCCTTTTGTTATAAACATACTATTTCACTCTGAATGAACCACAAAATATAGAATCTCTCAGCACTGTTTGACCTCTAGTACATTTGCTTGTCTCTCAAACCTACAGTAGGTTTGATAAATTGATACCCTCTGTGATAAACCTGAAGATTTCCCTTGTGCATACGCAATGTAACTGTCATCCATGGATTTATGGGGGAACTCTCCAAATAATATGTGAGGTTTCCCACTTGCCTACCCTCTCTCTAGGGAACAGCCCTGAAGTTTCCAGTTGCTTCTGCTTCTCTGCATTCTAACTTCTGATCTTTTACTCAGGGGACCACCATGGTTCTTTTTTGAACTCTAGTTGAATGCAGCATGGAGCAAGGCTGATCATTTGGCTAACCACATGCATTTTCTTCCTATCATGGATTATAAACTTAAACTATCTGTTGTCCGATGTCTGAAAAGAACTGCCTAATATATGTTGTCTATTTTAAATGTCGTTTACAATAGTAGGGCTTATCAAGTAGCTTTTAATGTTTTATAGCTGGAAGTAGAGATTTACATAACATAATTTTGAAAAAAGAAATCGGAAAACAATAGCCTGATAAAACTAGCATACTGATTTTTTCCCCTAATTAACCCATCACTCTTATATTTCAGCAATGGTTCTCTTAATGTCCGGAGAGTTCACAGATGGACTTGAAATAGCTAGGGTCCGTTTGTAGGTACAGGAACTGATAATGAATTTTGTTAACAGATTCTAAGTTTCCCTAGAAACTTTGAGCACAGCACCATTCTCTGTTAGCTTAGCTGGGCTTCTAATCTAGTTGAGCTTTACCCACTCTATCTGAGCATCATCTTGTTCTGCTCCAGTGCTTTCCTAGCGCACTTGATTTCTTTTAGCACTTTCCAAGCTTAGCTCTGTTCCTTGACCTTTCCAAGTTTGTGCATTTATACTAAAGACATGATTTTAAAGTTATTCTTGAGTAGTTTTTGTGTAAGGTACTTAAACTGACCTGTAAAATGGTTTAGACCACTGGATTTTAAAAGAACAAATGTAGTCATTAAAATAGACTTATGACAAATGTACAAAATTAATTTTTACAATTACCTTGATAATCCATGCAACTGATAATTTAGATTTAGAAATATAATGTTGGAAGGAATAAGCAATTATGTGCTTCTCTTTAATAGTATGACAAATAATTAAGATTTAGTTGAACACTACAGGTATATAAGTTCTAAGCAAATGGCGTGAGCTACCTTTAATAGGAATTCACAAAATACATTTAAACACATTTTACTTTTTAAACACTACTTTACAATAAAACCTTTTTTTCTGATCAGTTTTACTGATGTAGAAAAGGTTGTAACTATGTGGTTTTGGGGGTTGATTAGAATCATCTACTCATTCATGATATCCTGGCAACAGATGATAATCCCCGCAATAGGAATTAGATCCTAGCAAAGAAGCATATGGAGAACAGCAGGTCTACAGAAAACATCTATCCAGGCTGCCTGTTCACACTGCTCAAGTGCAATCAAAGGCTCTCAGATGTAAACTCTCACTTGAGGTTATTGAGATTTATACTGATAATTCCGATTGGAGCAAGAAACAGTGGAGAATCAAGAATATATATAATTAATCCCATAGATGAATGGCAGCCTGCTTTGAAGACATTGTGATTATTTATTTGAAACAAATGGACAATTAATGAACATCAGAATAAAATTGATATTAACATATTAACTTTAATATTTTGACTTTTCAAAAAATATTTATGAGAAAGATGACAGCATTAAACTTTTTGGAACACATTTTTTTTTTTTTTTTTTTTTTTGAGAGGGAGCTTCGCTCTGTCTCCCAGGCTGGAGTGCAATGGCGTGACCTCGGCTCACTGCAAGCTCCGCTTCCTGGGTTCACGCCATTCTTCTGTCTCAGCCTCCCGAGTAGCTGGGACTACCGGCGCCCGCCACCACGCCCGGCTAATTTTTTGTATTTTTAGTAGAGACGGGGTTTCATCGTGTTAGCCAGGATGGTCTCGATCTCCTGACCTCGTGATCTGCCCGCTTCGGCCTCCCAAAGTGCTGGGATTACAGGCGTGAGCCACTGTGCCCAGCGGGAACACCCTTTTATATTGTACCAAATCATTATTTATCTTCAAGCAGTAAAGTTTTTCACATTATAAATATTTCAATCACAGACTCAAAAACATTGCTCTCCCCCTCTATTTTAGGTAATAAATCAAGTTCAAATTAAATAAATACTCAATTTGTTCCTCAGGTGGTAAATCAAGTTCAAGGTAAATAAAGGTTCGATTTATCCATCACTTCACTTTATAAATATTTCTTCTTTATATTTTAAATCAACATCTATCCCAGATATTTTGGGTTAGCCAGTCCTATAGCAGAAGTAGTAAGGGATGTAAGACTAGAATTTTTTATCTAACTGGCTGGCACACTGAAGAAAACACTGAAACCAAAAAATATGAATTCTGGCCTGGGACTGCAACTAACTAGATAATGTTAGAACACTTTCTTATTTGCAAAAAATGGAGTAGATTACTGTATACTAAAATTCTTTTTAGAAGTAATACACTAGTACCAAATAATATATTAGTCAAATATAACAATAAAAATATATCAGTTTACAATTATGCAGAATTTGAAGAATTTGTACTCCTGGATGAAAGCGATCTCTACCACTGGAATCACTCAATCAGGCAAATACAATGGCCTTCATTTCTCAGGAATATTATAGGAGAGTCCTTTGCGTAGCATGGAATCCCTGCCAATCACAAGTTTTACTAATAAAAGAGAATTAAATCCATCTGATTATTACTGTAAATGAATTCATTAAGAGCATTTCCTATTGTCAAATATTAAAGTACAATAAATTATCTTAATTACTCTATCTCTAATATAATTAGTCTGCTTAGCAAAGAGTCATTATAGACTCAACATTAATATTGTTTTCTTCTTATTCCTAAAACAATTAGGATGAAAAGCTTCATGACAAGGCAGAAAGGTAACTAAATTGTGAACTGTTCTCCATCCTATTCATAAATATTTTACTTCTTCTTTATATTAGCATTTCTAAATTTCCCCAACATACACTATGTAGACAACATACTCAGTAAGGAATAACTAGCTATAGCAATGCTGAATTAAGCTCATATTTAATATGAAAGCATCTGCTTCTCTGGGATAAAAGAATGCCAACAATAAAACAATTCTCATTTTATTTATTATTTAATTTAATTTTTTTTTGAGACAGTGTCTTGCTCTGTCATTCAGACTGGGATGAAGTGGCATAATCATGGCTCACTGTAGCCTCTCCCAGGCTTAGATGATTCTCCCACCGCAGCCTCCCAAGTAGCTAGAACTACACACCTGTGCCACCATGCCCAGAGAATATTTTGTATTTTTTTTAGAGACGGGGTTTCGCTATGTTACCCCGGCTGGTCTTGAACTCCTAGGCTCATGTGATCAGCTAGCTTTGGCCTCCCAAAGTGCTGGGATTACAGGTGTGAGCCATCGCACGAGGCCAAGAAAACAATTGTCAATACATAGAATTTCAAATTTCACATTCAAAGCAGCTATTTTTATTTGAGATTTACAATCTAAACATTCAACCCACAAGCATTATAGATTCTCATTGCAAAATATATTTGAACTTTATCAAAATGTTCGCTAATCAATAATAAAACTAAAAATTGTTCATCTGCACTTAAAATATTAATATATAAAGTTATGTATGTAACATAAAATACTGTATCATAATTATAATATCAAAACTGAGGTTGCTTTATTAAATATATTGTTTATTTGTACCCTTAGTTTGGTAGCTTATTTATATAAATATAAAGTATAATTGAGTGTATATGTTTTTCCTAACCATTAGAACAATCATTGCTTTAAATTTTTTCTTAATGAATGTATTTTATAATGAACATGTGTTAAAGTTATTTAATACACTACTCTATATGTGTGCTCTATATTCTTGGCTTTGATAATAATTTCCATTTTAACTCCTTTAGCACAATGAGAATTTACATTGCTGTTTTTTGTACTCTTATATTTTGTCAATATTTATGTCAAACATGTGTGATATATATAACTGTGTGTGTGTGTGTGTGTGTGTGTGTGTGGGTGTGTGTGTTGTTTCTATGTGATTTGGTATTACCAGCCATTTATCTTCAGACTATCTTTTCTTATGTTTGACATTGTATCAAGGGCATGGCCTTGGGAAAATAGAGGCAGTGGATCCAACTGAAGTAAATTTACTTACACTTCTCTATAAGTACATATATTCCTCTTTTCCCAGAGAAGATTAAACTGTATTCCAAGGTATTAAGATAATGTCCTTCTCTAGATGGGGAGAATAAGCAAGTTCATGGTCAGTCTCCATATAAAATGAGGGTTTCTTACCCTCAGGGTTCACCTCTTGTAATGAACCCCACTATACGACACAGACATCTCATTGTCTTCAGTGTGTCGCCATGGGAGAATTGGAGCATAAGGAATTGATACAAGACTTTCTGTGGCTTGGCTTTTGCTATTGCCCTTTTTTCTCTGACTCCAAGGCCTTTTGTTGTCTGCCAGGATCTATGAAATTTTGAAGAGCTAACTGACTTGCAAGCTTAAAATTATGGTAAAACCCCAAACTTTTCATAACTCCTAATTTGACATTTTAATATTAATTCATGTGATTGGTTATTCACCTCTGATATTTTTATCTTCTGCCATTTGGTAGACCACGTTTTCCTCAATCATTCCTTGTCATGTTATCTACTATTAAGGATTGTTATGATGCTTTTTTTTAAAAAAGGATTTGTTTCAAGTACCCAGACAAGGATCACAAATTCTACTTGTATTAATACCTACCATTATTGACTCCAACTAAAGTATCAAAACAAATACACCAACAAAACAGACACACTTATACCAACAGAATTTCCCTTCTTAGGGCTCAGCTTTTAGCAAAAATTCCTCCTTTTTGAACAGTATTGATTTGTGTGTTGGAAGACCTTTGGTTTTCATCCAAGGGTTATTTTTACAGTGTTTATTTATTTCTTCAAGTACAGCAGACTAACGGATATAACAGTGGGGCTTCCAACCAGGATTATCAACTCTCGCTTTCCATTGACTCCTATTTCTCTCTTAGCTATCTGTAATTCATGGGGAGTGACCACTCAGGTCCTGTGTTATGTGTCTGGTAACAGTTGGAAACCTTTCTCTTTTTCAGTGGCCTCTCCCTATTGACATCTCACCACTGATTTTTCCATCCCTCATTCCCTGCTCTAACTCTTACGTAGCAGATGGTATAAATTGGCTAAGCATGTATTTGCTGAGTGACCATGAGGAAAGCTGTCACTTGGCTTACTTATTTTTCATTACTAATATTTTGCCTTTAACGATTAGACAAGACAATGCTTGATGAGACTAACAAGACCTGAACTTTTTATGCTTTCCAGTATAAAGTAATCAACATTTTATACCTGCCATTATGGAAGGCTTTTTCAATAAAAGCAGTTTTCTATTTTTAAATTTTTAAAATTAGACTAATGATTCTCAGTCTCTTCTTTTCAGATCTCAGCCTTCTTCTCTTCCTCTCTGCCCCTTTTTTCATTCCTCCATCCCCTCCCCTCCCCCTTCCCCTTCCCTTTCCCTTCCCTTTCCTTCCTTCCTTCCTTTTTTCCCTTTTCTAAAATTGTATATTATAGTTACATAATTTTAGCTATCCTTATCTCAGCAAAGTGTTTTGGTAATTTCATAGTTGTTTTTGGCATAAACAAAAGAAAGGTTTTCTTTATTTGGTCATAAATAATATGCCAGGGTGGTGTGTCAACATTAGAAAGATGAGGAGCAAATGTGAATTTTAAAATCTTCCCTGGGTAAACGTATTATTGCTTTCTATAACCAAACCTCCCACATTTAAGTTTCAAGTCTAAGGCCACATGAATGAAGCTCCATTTTAGTGCCATAAAGAGACAGAGAAAATCTACAAACTTAAGCAGCATATTTTAAACTAACATATTCTCTAATTGAGTGCAATTCTCTTTCTCAGGATGACTGTTATTAGGAAAGTTTGTTTGATGTTTGTTTTCCTATTTATCTTATTCCCTTCTCAAGCCACCTAGTTATGTGAATTATTATTTTTTTTTTTTTTTTTTTTTTGAGACGGAGTCTCACTCTTTCGCCCAAGCTGGACTGCAGTGGCACTATCCCGGCTCACTGCAAGCTCCGCCTCCCGGGCTCACGCCATTCTCCTGCCTCAGCCTCCCGAGTAGCTGGGATTACAGGCGCCCACCACCACGCCCGGCTAATTTTTTGTATTTTTAGTAGAGACGGGGTTTCACCGTGTTAGCCAGGATGGTCTCGATCTCCTGACCTCATGATCCGCCCGCCTCGGCCTCCCAAAGTGCTGGGATTACAGGCGTGAGCCACCACGCCCGGCCGAATTATTTTTTTAAACATTTTTTTTTTTTTAGTGTTTTAGCTACTCATTGTAGTGGTCAACTAGAAAAAAAATCCATAATTAACCTGTAAGAATATTATCAAAAAAGAAAAAAAAGTTTTATTTTATTTTATTTTACTTTAAGTTCTGGGATACATGGGCAGAACGTACAGGTTTGTTACATAGGTATACCTATCAATCTGTCATGTAGATTTTAAGCCCCGCATGCATTAGGCATTTGTCCTAATGCCCTCCTTCCCCCTGTCCCCAACCCCTGACAGGCCCTGGTGTGTGATGTTCCCCTCCCTGTGTCCATATGTTCTCATTGTTCAACTCCCACGTATGAGAACGTGCGGTGTTTGGTTTTGTGTTCCTGTGTTAGTTTGATGAGAATGATGGTTTCCAGCTTCATCCATGTCCCTGCAAAAGACATGAACTCATTCTTTTTTTATGGCTGCATTGTATTCCATGGTGTGTATGTGCCACATTTTTTTCTTTTTTTTTTTTTGATGGAGTCTTGCTCTGTTGCCCAGGCTGGAGTGCAGTGGCGCGGTCTCGACTCACTGCAAGCTCTGCCTCCTGGGTTCACGCCATTCTCCTGCCTCAGCCTCCCGAGTAGCTGGGACTACAGGCGCCCGCAACCACTCCCGGCTAATTTTTTGTATTTTTAGTAGAGATGGGGTTTCACCATGTTAGCCAGGATGGTCTCGATCTCCTGACCTGGTGATCCGCCCGCCTCGGCCTCCCAAAGTGCTAGGATTATAGGTGTGAACCACTGCGCCCGGCGCAACATTTTCTTTATCCAGTCTGTCATTGACAGACATTTGGGTTGGTTCCAAGTCTTTGCTATTGTAAATAGTGCTGCAATAAACATACGTGTGCATGTGTCTTTATAGTAGAATGATTTATAATCCCTTGGATATATATCCAGTAATGAGATGGCTGGGTCAAATGGTATTTCAGATTCTAGATCCTCGAGGAATCGCCACACTGTCTTCCACAATGGTTGAACTAATTTACACTCCCACCAACAGTGTAAAAGGATTCCTGTTTCTCCACAGCCTTTCCAGCATCTGTTGAAAAACCCAGTTTTAATATTACAAGAATATATTGAAAGTACGCTAAGGTAGAAGAACTACATTAAAATATAATTTTAAAAGTGTTTATATATAAGTACAATATGAGCAGCCAATCTTTCTTTTTCTAAAAAAAAAAAAAAAACAAAACATACTTTGTTGAGATAGTATGTTCTGAATGAAAATAATTTTTTAAATAAGAATTGGAAGATAAAAAAATATATATATAATATTTAGTGTTCACTTAAAACTTTTTGAGCTAAATTATCATTTTTTTAATTTTTTAAATGACTTCTATCTAAATTCTTTGAAGTGAAAACTTGTTTAAAATTAGTTTTCTTTGTTGTTGTTGTTGTCGTTGTTCTTTTTTTGAGATGGAGTCTTGCTCCATCTCCCAAGCTGGAGTGCAGTGGCGTGACCTTGGCTCACTGTAACCTCTGCCTACCAGGTTCAAGCCATTCTCTTGTCTCAGCCTTCCAAGTAGCTGGGATTACAGGCATATACCTGTAATATTTAATATTTAATAATATTTAAAATTTTTGTATTTTTAGTAGAGGTGGGTTTTCACCATGTTGGCTAGGCTGATCTCGAACTCCTGACCTCACATGATCTGCCCATTGACACTTAAAGAATTGTATCCAAAAGCATTCAAGCATTTTTTCGATGCTTCTCCTAACACTGTCTTGTAACACTAGAACTAATAAAATCTTTCTTAGTTTTCTCTCCCATAATTTCTGTTTATGAACTGCCTTCTCTCAGCCTATTCAGCCTTACTCTTTGTTAGCTTAATATCCAAGGGAGGTACTGTTTCCAATGTCTGTGTCTGTTTTTCCCCTTGGTGAAAGCTCTCTTCTACTTGCAGCCCACTAAACTGGCTTTGCTGGTGCTTTTCCATGACTCATTCTTTTCAGTTATTAAGAACTGTTGTCTAAATCTTTTTTTGTTGTCGATGTTGTTAAATTTGGTTGTTGATGATGATAATTTGAAGTTGTTACAGTTTTAAGTTGTAGTATTCAATATAAAGCAAATGTTTTGGATCATTCTAAAGTCTCTGACTATAAATATCAATTTGTAACTCTTCATATATTCCACATTTATCAAACATATGTAAACAACTTAATAAATCTGCATGCATTTTAATAGCTTTTGAATTATGATTGGCATATTTCCTTTAAGTTGTATGCTGCTTCCTAAGATTTTAACTAAAATGCAATTGTTTATGACATAGTTTTTCTAAACCAGGACTGATTTTTTTAAACACAACATTTTAAATTGGTCTAATATTAAATAATATATTTGAAAAAGAGGAAAATTAATTTCTTCCAAGATAAAAATACTTATTATAAATGTACTTATAGAATTTATTAAGCAAAAAATGTATCTGTTTTAAATATGTTAAAAACACTAACAAAGAGTTCATCATAAAAGTAATAGTTGAAATATTAAAGTTTAATAATGTGAGTTTGGTGATACCATCATTCTACATATAATAATTTAAAAATATTTTATCCATTTATTTAAGAATATTGGCTATGATAGCTAATATTTATTGAGTAATTAGGGTCAGAAGTTATTTTAAATGCTTTTATATATTTCCAAAACTTATAAAGTTTTATGAGATGATAAATATGTATTTATCTTACAGATGAGGAAATTGTGATTTATTTTCTCATCTAGGTTCACCTTGAAAGACATATGTACTCTTAACTGCTACATTACACTGATCCTGTACTTTAATTAAATAGAAAATAGGATACTCCAAATCAGGTAAGGTTCAAAGCTAGATAGAGTGCTAGAAGTAATCTAGCACTGTTAATTAAAGCACACACTTAAAGGATGTGGTAAATAAGTAGTACTGAGTAGCAATCACTGTTCTCTTATATACCAACGGTTGATAATGTTTTGCACAGTTTCCTATAATGGCAAAAAATAAATCATAAAGCATGTCTAGAGTCAAAACAAGCATTGGTAGAGGAGAAGCAGAACAAGATGGCTGAAGAGAATTCTTTAGCAGTTGTCTCCCCACGTGGACACCGAATTGAACAACTATCCACACAACCAAGTACCTTCATAAGAGCCAAAAATCAGATGAGCAATCACAGTACCTGATTTTAACGTTATTTCAAGGAAATAGTCAGTGAAGAGGACAGAAAAGATAGTCATTCATTGCCTACACCACTTCTCCCCCATCCATCCCAGCAGCATGCGGACAGAGAATATGTGTGCTTGGGGGAAGGAGAGTGGAGAGCGAGGTGACTGTAGGGCTTTCCGTTGGAACTCAGTGCTGCCTGTCATAGGGGAACACAATTAGGGCATCATTCTTCCAGTTGTTCACGGAAGGAGCATTTTAACTAGCCCTGGCTAGAAGGGAATCCTCCACCCCAACAGTAAGTATCTAAATTCTGGCTAGCTCCACCACTGGCAACTAAAGAACCCTAGGGTTCTGAATAAATTTGAAAGAAACTCAGGGCACAAGAACTGCAGTCCTTGGGCAAGACCTAGTGCTCTGCT
Source organism: Homo sapiens (assembly GCF_000001405.40). Lineage (NCBI taxonomy): Eukaryota > Metazoa > Chordata > Mammalia > Primates > Hominidae > Homo > Homo sapiens. Next base: position 83,324,277 of record NC_000003.12, on the reverse strand, counting down.
GGGCTCAGACCCAGGGAATTAGAGTGCGTACAGCTCAGGAAGACACTGCTTGGGCGACCAAGGGAGTGCTTGAGTCACCCCTCCCCTAACTCCAGGCAGTGCAGCTCTGAAAGACTTCTGCTTGTGGAAAGAAGAAGGAAGAGTAAAGAGGACTTTGTTTTGCAACCTGGGTACCAGCTCAGCCACAGTAAAATAAAGCATCAGATTGCCAAAACCCCTGATTCCAGGCCCTAGCTCCTGGGCATTTCTAGACCTACTTTGGGCCAGAAGTTCCCTTCTGTGCTTGGGAGAGTAGAACCCAGTCCCAGCATGATTTACCACTTACTGACAAAAGAGCCCATGGGCCTTGAATAAACATCAGTAGTAGCCAGGCTGTAGTTACCATGAGCCTTGGGCAAGACCCAGTACTGCACCGGCTTCAGGTGTGACCCATCACAGTCCAGATGTGGTGGCCATGGGAGTGCTTGCACCATCTCTCCTCCAACTCCAGGCAACTCAGAGACACAGAGAGATAGGCCTCATTTGTTTTGGGAAAGTGAGGGAAGAGAAAGAGAGACTCTGTGTGGTAATTCAAGGAATTCTGTGTCTTACTCAAACCCACCAAGGCAGTGGGAATCTGCAAGAGTTGTAGCATCACTAGGATTGGGGATCCACTATTGTAGAGATGTCTGCAGGACCAAAGACTTAGATCACAACTCTTTGAATATGGTGGAATGTCTTCTCAAGAAGAAGGACAGGTACAAATAGTCCAAGACTGCAAAGATTAGAATAAATACTTAATCTTCAATGCCCAAACATCAACAAACATCCACAAGCACCAAGAACATCCAGAAAATCTTGACCTCACCAAATAAACTAAATAAGGCACCAGTAACCAATCGCACAGTGACAGAGATATGTGACCTTTCAGACAGATAATTAAAAATAGCTGTTCTGAGAAAACTCTACAAGCTTCAATAAAACACAGAGAAGGAATTCAGAATTCTATTAGAGAAACTTAGCAAGGAGATTGAAATAATAATTTAAAAAATCAAGCAGATATTCTAGCACTGAAACATTCAATTGACAAACTGAAAAATGCGTCAGAGTATCTCAGCAGCAGAACTGATCAAGCAGAAGAAAGGATTGGTGAACTTGAAGACAGGCTATTTGAAAATACCCAGTAGAAGAGAAGAAAGGAAAAAGATTAAAAAGAAGAAACATGCTTATAAGATACAGAAAATAGCCTCAAGGGGGCAAATCTAACACTTATTGACCTTAAAGAGGAGGTAGAGAGATTAGGGTAGAAAGTTTATTCAAAGAATTAATAACAAAGAACTTCTCTAATCTAGAGAAAGAATTAATATTCAGTACAAGAAGGTCATAAAATACAAAGCAGATTTAACCCAAACAAGACTACCTCAGGGAATTTAATAACCAAACCCCCAAAGGCCAATGATAAAGAAAGGATCTTCAAAGCAGCAAGAGAAAAGGAATAAATAACATATAAAGCAGCTCTAATACATCCGGAAGCAGACTTTTCACTGGAAACCTTACAGACCAGGAGAGAGTGGCATGACATATTTAAAGTGCTGAAGTAAAAATAATAATAAAACATTATCAAAAATATAGTATTTCTAAGATAAAAAAATTCTTTTAACTTATTTCTGATTTTTGAAAGTGCATCAGCGGGATTCAGTTAATTAGTATGTGTTCATTTTATTTTGAATTCAAGGCCTCAGGAAGAAAGTAAACATCAAACCATGTCAGTGTAAATTTCCTTGTTTGAAAGCTGTTCATCTTTCATAAGGGTTTGCAGACACTGAATTCTTCTGGGACTTTAAACAAGTAGGAACAACAGGAGAAATGTTAGACATTGGAAGAGAAGCTAGCTGAGGTCTCTGAGTACGCTAGGTAACTCTACCTAGTGTACTATTTTGGTTAGACTTGGCCCTGTTCAAGAGCAAATCATGGAGATGAGATTAGTTCTGTGCATTTGTCCTTCTTAGAGTATAACCACCATATAAAGACTCTCAACATTTGCTTCCTGTATGTTAGCAAAGATTTTTTTTTTTTTATTTTCTGAATATTGTCCTCAATATGGTAGAACAGACTTGTTCAAAGCAAAGTTTTGATGAAATGTTTTCTCAGGAAAATCTGTTTCTGCTGCTAAGAAACTGCCACCTACAACCATCTGTGGTTTTCCGTTTCTTGCCAAACTTTTTCTGTTGTCTTTATGTAGATACTGTCTTTGTCTCTTTTGTGGTATCCAAACATGGCAAGCACTTCTATCAGTTGCATTCCTTTGCTAAAAGTGTTTTACTCTCCTACTAAATATTATAGTCTATGTTCATACACATATACACATGTATTACATATTTTAATATATTGAACACAAAATCACTTTAGCCAACATATTCAAATATTTAATAGAAGCACACCACTGTCTTAAAGACTCTTATCCCCAATTGGCAGTAGTGTTTTATATAAGAATTATTAATTATAAAATCAAAAGCATGAAAAGATAGAAGAACTTCAGAGTAGGTCCACATAGAGTTCTTTTTTTTTTTTTCAGTTGGAGTTTCACTCTGTCAGTCACGTTGGAGTACAGAAGATCAGAACACACAATAACCTCAAACTTCTGAGCTCAAGCAATACTCTTGCCTCAGCCTCTCTAGTGGCTAGGACTGTAAGCATGCACTATCATGCCTGACTAATTTATTTTATTTTATTTTGTGGAGACAAGGTCTCACTATGTTATCCAGGGTCATCTCAAACTCCTGCCCTCAAGCAGTCCTCCTCCTTTGGCCTCCCAAAGTATAGTTCTAATGGAATAAAATACATTACATGGCAAATAAGAAATACTAGAAATAATAATTATTCACAAGTTTCCAGAATTGAAGAAAGACATGTGTTGTTCAGTAAAAACAACAACAGAGAAAAATGGTGATTTCCAAGCAGATAAATAAAAATACCTTCTCAGCTTGATACAGTGTAGTGAAACCCTAGTACATCTAGAAATAGTGACAAAAGCTTCTACTTTAGGCTATTACAGGGTACTTCACATCAAAAAAAATTTTTACTTAGAACACCTTAAAAGTTAGATAACAATGATGATTTACCAAAAAAAAAAAAAAAATCTCCTCTGTGAGCTATTGGAAAACAATCAAGTTAGACAGAACTTGAGAAGCTGAGTGATAAAGAACATTTAGTTAAAAGTTTAGTTTCTGCTGATTTTTTTAAAGGTTTCTCTGATTAGTAGTGTAAGCTACAATGACTAAATAGAAAATGGCAGTCCAGAATTTTGGGCAATTACAATGGCCTGGGGAAAGACTAACTGAAGTTTATAACTACCACAATATAGAGGGATTTGAGATCCAAAGTCTTACAAAAATAATAAAAGCCATGAAACCACAAATTCAAGAATGTCAATATTATCTAGCTAGAATAAATACAAAGAAAATTAGTCATAGGCAAATCATAGTAACATATTGATATTTAAAGACAGAGGGAAAATCTTAAAATCACCTACAGAGTTTATTTTATTGTGTAGGATATATAAAACTCAAAATAGTAATATTCTTACTATAATAAGAAGAAAAATATGGATAAATTAAATTACGTATATTTTTATTGAGCCCACCAACGTTTCAAGGCAACCAAGCGGGCTCAATTCTAAGGAATGTCAGGTCTCTCTGCAGGAGATAGGATCCAAGCAATTATTTACCTATGGCCAGGCATAGAAAAAAGTATTCCATAAAAGTGGGCACAAAGATATGAGCTAAAATTGTTATCATTTGCTAAAGGTCAGTTGTGGGCTAACATAAGCATATAGAAGCCCTTGGAACCATAGGCATCAAGTTATCCATCTTCTCTGTGAACCTCTATAGGTGATCACAAAAAGGATTGGATATATACTGAAGAAGATTTACTATATGATACATTCATAACGAATGAAATCAACATCTGGAGGCTCACACTGACCCTTTTCCATTGAGCCAGTAGGAGAAAGGGAGAAATGATGTCACTGCAGGGCAAAAAATGTAGAGCAATTATAGCTGGGAGAAGAATAAAGGAAAATAAACCTCTACTCATTAAGGTATGGTAAGAAAAAATGTGAGTGGAGATTTTATGCCAGTATCATTAGAAGTCTCCTACCACTGGGGGGAAATCAGAAAATCAGAAAATGCTTTCTTCTATAAGGCCTACCAAAGATACAAAACCAGATTTTACCTGCCATGGGGAAAAAAGGCAAGATCACTGAGAATGCCCCTCTCTTAAGATCTGATTAGAGGATTGGACCAGAGTACAGAGAACTGTCCCTGCTCCTCATCAATAGCCTAGAAAGTGCCAAGTAACTGCAAAACCAGGCCAACACTGGAGGAGGAACAAGAGTGTATAACACAATTTTCTCTGTGACGTAGGCACAACAACCTTATATTGAGTAAAAACAATCAAGATACTCAGACCTTGAACCTGGCTCGGAGATGTCTCTGATGTTGACATTACTGATTTTACCAAAATGGGATGGAACATGACTATGACTAATCCAGTAAACTAAATGCCATAACAGAAAAGGTAGGGAATATAAATTGCCAGAATTTAATAATTTAACACAAGAAATATAAACTATAAGAAAGACTGAAATGGAATTTGTAGGAAAATAAATAAAAACAGGGGAATGAAAATAATGCCTTAGAAAAGCTCATCAGTAGACTTAATTATCTATTATAGAACACTACACAATTGTCTTCAAACTCTGTAAAATATTTTGAAGAGATTTATTCTGAGGCAAATATGAATGACCACGGCCCATGACTCAGCCCTCAGGAGATCCTGAGAACATGTTTCTGAGGTGGTTAGAGCACAGCCTGGTTTTATACAACTTTGGGAGACATGAGACATCAATCAAATGCATTTAGTTGTACATTGGTTTGCTTCAGAAAGGCAAGGCAACTGGAAGTGGGGGTTCCAGGCTATAGGTAAATTTTAAAATTTTCTAGTTGACAATGGGTTGAGTTTGTCTAAGGGCATGGGATCAATAGAAAAGATATGTTTGGGTTAAGATAAAGGATTGTGGAGACCAAAGTTATATTGTTCACAGGAAGCTTTTAGTGAGCAGGCTTCAGAGAGAAGAGGTTGTAAAATGTTTTCTTATTAGACTTAAAAGCGTGCCTGACTCTTAGCTGATCTTCTCCTGGATCTGGAAAGAAAGAAAAACATAAAAAGGAAAAGGGGATTCTCTACAGAATGTAGATTTTTTCCAATAAGAGACAAGGAAATATATTTGGAGTTAAGAGTATTTTGATTTTTTTTTCTTATTTGTTATGTGATGTTATGGCAGAACCAGGTTGGAAAGGAGGCCACTTTATAGAGGGTTAAAGCCCCTCTGATGAGACTTTATGGTTTGTAGGGCACGACTCCCCAGACTCCTTAGACAGGAATGTGCACAAGGTAAGAAAAAAAAAGTCAGAGGTTGATCCTCACAATGATAGCAGAATACACATTCTTTTCAAGTGTGCATGCTTCACCAAGGTAGATTATATTTTACAACATAAACACAAGCCAAAAAAATTAAAGGCTTGAAATTATACAAAGGACGTTCTTTGACCACATAGAATTAAACTAGAAAACACTAAAAAGATACCTCAATAATCTTAATTAGTTGAAAATTAATCACCATACTTATAAATATCCCATGGATTAAATAAAAAGTTGTAAGAGAAATGGAAATGTATATTCAGTTAAATGATAATAAAAAATAAAATTGGCAAGATATGTGTAAAGAACTAATAGATGCAGAAAAAGTACTTGCAACGTTAAGCATTCATTCAAGATCTTTAAAAGGGCAAAGATAATTCAGAATCGAATAGAACTTCTTTAACACAATAATAGGCATTTACAAACAAATAAAGCATGTCTACAGATAACATTATACTTAATGGTGAAAGACCGATTCTTTTCTCCTACAATTAGGAGCAAACCCAGAATATCTGCTCTCAATTCTTGTAATCAAATAACTCTAGATCTTAATAAGTGCAATAAGTAAGATTTAAAAAAAAAAAGGAGAAGACATAGAGATTGTGAAAGAACAAATAAAGCTTAAATAGAAACAACATACTTGTTGTCATAAACTTGTTTCATATAGCTGCTTCTTCAGCACCCGTTTTTAAGTCTGGCCTAAGGTATTTGAAATCCAGTTGTTTCTTGCCTCCTTTGACCTAGTTGAAACTTCTCCCTATGTGTTGGTTTGTAATATAGTCTGCTTGCTTCTTATCTTACTAAGACAAATCCCAACATAGCCCACAGCTACTGACCACAATAAAACATAATGGTCAATATGAGAGTCATGCAAACAAGCTCTCCCTTTCTTGTTGCATTTTCTAGTGACTAACAGTGTTTTCTTCAAAGTAGCCAATCCGCAATCTCAGCAGGAATGCCTAAGGGATAACACTCATAGACCTTACTATAGCCATAGACTCACAGGTGATCTCTCTTTTGCTCTTTCTCTTCTATTCACTCCCTCCTCATTCCTCACCTGCTGGTTGAGCATCCTGCTGTCTCGAGACTTCTCACTGGCCCTAATGGATGTGTCTCTCTTTTCTTGTGGATCTGTAGGTAATAAAGATGCTTCTGTCACTTTATGTTTTGTTGTGCTGACTCTTCCAGGTCCCACCTGAAAAACGTACCCAAACTTAACCCTCCGCCTGTTCAGGGCTTTCTTAGACAGTGGCTATCTTTGTGGGAATAAATAGACACAGGTGAGACAAAAATCACAAAGGCATCTACCAGTATGAAGTTTCCTATGAGAGGGACATCTGGTCACTGGTTGGACACTTAAGCATTAGGAAGTCTACAAGGATAAAGATGTATTCAGTGAAAGACACAAAGTAAACATTCAAGACCAGCTCTTCTGGAGCCCTGTCAGAGCAGGGCTGGAATTTATATTCACTCTGGACAGAGAGACCGCAAGACCAAATTAGAAAGAAACCATAACAATAGAAATTGCAGGCCGGGCGCGTGGCTCAGGCCTGTAATCCCAGCACTTTGCGAGGCCGAGGCGGGCGGATCACGAGGTCAGGAGAGGGAGACCATCCTGGCTAACACGGTGAAACCCCATCTCTACTAAAAAAAATACAAAAAAAAATTAGCCACGCGTGGTGGTGGGCGCCTGTAGTCCCAGCTACTGGGGAGGACGAAGCAGGAGAATGGCATGACCCCGGGAGGCGGAGCTTGCAGTGAGCCGAGATCGCGCCACTGCACTCCAGCCTGGGTGACAGGGTGAGACTCTGTCTCAAAAATACATACATACATACATACATACATACATACATACATACATACATGGCAATAACCATCTATATGTAGATTTTCTAACAAATCTGCAGCACAAGCAACTAAGTGTAATAGGTTAATTTAGTAAGGTCACATAATATAAGACTACTATACTATATTATACAAAAATTAATTGTATTTCTCAACACTAAAAATGAATAATTGGAATTAAAATTTTGGGAAGTAGCACTGATTAAGCACCTCAAATCATTTATAAGCTAGGTATAATTTTAACAAACATATGCAATATCAGTGTGCTATAAACTAAAAAAACTGATATGAGAGATCAAAGAAGATATAAATTAATGGAACAAAGCATCATGTTCATGTTTTGGAAAACTTACACATTTTAAGATGTCAATTCTCTCCAAATTGATTAACAATTTTAACATACTTCCAATCAAAACTCCAGAAAGAACTTTGTAGAAATATTTTGTAGAAGCCAAAAAGTTGTTTATAAAATATTCAAAGAAAACAAAGAAAATAGAATAATCAAAACAATTTTAAAAATGATATTTACAGAACAAAGTTGGAGACTCATATGAATTGATTTCAAGATGTACTCTGAAGCTACAGAATCAAACAATGTGCTATTGGCAAAAGTAGAATGACAGATCAGTAAAACACAATAGAGCACCCATAAATAAACTCACTCATATATGGTGAATTGATTTTCAAAAACATTGCTCACACATGGATATAAATTTGGGAGCAATAGATGCTGTAGGCTACTAGAGAGTGGAGGGAGGGGGCGTGTGTTTAAAAACTACCTATTGTGTACTATGCTCACTACCAGGGTAATGAGATCCACACTCCAAACCTCAATACCACACAATATTCTCATGTAACATATCTGCACATGTATCCTCTTTATCTAAAATAAAAGTTGAAATTTAAAAATATATATATTTTAAATGCATATTTTTATGACCTCTACAACAAAATAAATGAGTAATTGTAAAAAAAATGCAAATTAAAACCGCTGTGATATTACTGAAAACTTTTAGAATGCCTAAATTAAAAGGGAGGGGGCCAAGAAATAAAAGAAAACTAACAAGAAGTCAGTGAGGATGTAGATGGCACTCACATACATACATTTCTGGTTGGAATAAAACTTTTTGAATAGTCACATTTCACAATAGTTTGCCAATTTCTTATGGGCCTACGCTTACCATATGACCCAGCAATTCCATTTCTAAATATTTATCAACATAAATTAAAATGCATGTTCACACTCAAAACCTGTATGTAAATATTTGTAGTGGCCTTTTTATAATTAACAAAATTTGGAAAAATATATATTCTTTAACTGGTAAATAAAGAAATGTTCTTTTTTTTTTTTTTTTTTTTTTTTTTTTTGAGACGGAGTCTCGCCCTGTTTCCCAGGCTGGAGTGCAGTGGCGCAATCTTGGCTCACTGCCAGCTCCGCTTTCCGGGTTCCCGCCATTCTCCTGCCTCAGCCTCCGGAGTAGCTGGGACCACAGGCGCCTGCCACCACGCCAGGCTAATTTTTTGTATTTTTAGTACAGACGGGGTTTCACCGTGTTAGCCAGGATGGTCTCTATCTCCTGACCTCGTGATCCGCCCGCCTTGGCCTCCCAAAGTGCTGGGATTACAGGCGTGAGCCACGGCGCCTGGCCAATAAATAAATGTTCTATAGTGCCAATCCATACAGTGCAATGCTACTAGACAAAAAAAAAGAAAAAGAAAAAGAATTAATAATACATACAACTCTATGAATAATTCTTACATGCATTATCCTGAGTAAAAAATGTCAAATGCAAGCAATTATATTTTATAGTTTTCCTTTTATATTACTTCTTAAGATAATTAACTACATGGAGAGAATGCAGATCATTTATTAACATGAGATGTGAGTTGAGAAGGGTATTGTCTACAAATGAGCATTTGAGCAATAAAACACATACATCTGTATTACGGTGATGGTTACATGGTTGTATGAGTTTGCTAAAACTCATTAAATGGTACACTAACAAAGTATCAATTTTTTCTAGTATATTTTAAAACTCAATAAAACTAATAAAAGATCAGTTGTATAAAAAAAAGTGCAACCAGGTGATAGCACTAGGACTAGAAGGAAAGAAATGAAAACATACTATGTAAATATTTTATACTACATGTGAATTACTACAATATCACATGATGGTAAGCAGTGAAAATTTTAATTTACATTGTATAAACCAGAAAGCAACTACTAAAATAACGCAACAAAGGGTTGCATCGTATAAATCAATGTCTTAGTTTAGTTTGTGTTGCTGTAACAGAATTCCTGATACTGGGAAATTTATAAGGAAAGTAAATTTATTTGGCTTATTATTATTGTTATTATTAGGAAGTCCAAAACCATGATGCTGACACCTGACAAGGACCTTCATACAGCATAAGCCAATTGAGGAAACTGAAAGAGCAAGAAAGGGTAAGGGTGACAGAAGGGGCTGAACTTGCTTTTACTTAACAAGCTTTTTCTTGATAATGGACCCCCTTCCTTGATAATGATATTAGTCCATTCCTGAGGGCACAGCTCTTATGACCTTTATTAAGATTCCACCTCCCAACATCACCACATTGGAGATTAATATTTTAACACATAAAGTTTTGGGGACACATTCAAACGATAGGAACCAACAAGGTAGATAAAATTAAATTATGATAACTCAATATTTATAGAAAGCCCTCCCCCAAATTAGTAAAAGGTAAAAATGACAGATGGCTTATATAAAAAACAAATATCAAGAAAATATATTTATAGCTAAACATATCAACAATCGTGTTAAATGTAAATATCTAAATACTCAACATAAATCTTCAAATTCAATAAAAAGACAATTATACATTGAATACAAGAAAACCATCTTAAATATAAAGACAAATATGTTAAAAATAGATGAAAATATATACATGTATTAAAATATTACATTGTACCCTATAAATATATAAGATTATTACTTGTTAATTAAAAGTAAAATAAAACAAAAAAGATATGAAAAATGCTATATCATGCAAACACAAAACTTAAGAAAGTTGGAGCGGCTAAATTAATATTAAAGTCGAAATTCCACACACACAAAAAAACAATTACCAGGAATAAAAAGAGACATTGTATAATGTTAAATGGCTCAATTCTCCAAAAGAAATAATAATTATTAATTTTTTTTCTGCTTTTAATTATTTTTCCATAAGTTATTGGGGTACAGGTGGTATTTGGTTACATAAGTAAGTGTTTAGTGGTGATTTGTGAGATTTTGGTGCACCCATTTTGGTACGCTGGTGCACTCGGTGTATGCTGAGCAGTATACACTGCACCATATTTGTAGTCTTTTAGCCCTCACCCCCCTCCCACTCTTCCCCCTAAGTCCCCAAAGTCCGTTGTATCATTCTTATGCCTTTGCATTCTTATACCTTAGCTCCCATGTATCAGTGAGAACCTATGATGTTTGGTATTCAATTCCTGAGTTACTTCACTTAGAATAATAGTCTCCAATCTCATCCAGGTCACTGCAAATGCTGTTAATTCATTCTTTTTTGTGGCTGAGTAGTATTTCATCATTCATATATATATATATATATATTCATCATATATATGCATATATATACATATATATGTATATATATATATATATATCACAGTTTCTTTAACCACTCATTGATTGATGGGCATTTGGGTTGGTTTCACAATTTTGCAGTTGTGAATTCTGCTGCTATAAACATGCGTGTGCAAGTATCTTTTTCCTATAATGACTTCTTTTTCTTTGGGTAGATATCCCGTAGTGGGATTGCTGGATCAAATGGTAGTTTCACTTTTAGTTCTTTAAGGAATCTCCACACTGTTTTCCACACTGGCCAAACTAGTTTAGATACCCACCAGCAGTGTAGAAGTGTTCCCTGATCACCGCATCCACACCAACATCTACTGTTTCTTGAGTTTTGGTTATGGCCATTCTTGCAGGAGTAAGGTGGCATTGCATTGCGGTTTTGATTTGCATTTAGGTAGACTTGCACAAAAAGGACTTCTTTTTCTCAGAGAATATAAACGTTCTTTACCCTGCCATTCTTGATATCAACCTCAGCACATGATTTTACCTATTATCACATGAATGATGACTCAACTTCCTGTCAAAGTAACTACAAGTTTACCACATTTAAAAGCATGTATTTTTCCCTCATTTCCAAATATCTAAGCAAAGATTTTCAAATGTGTATTCTTTCTGTATTTTTAACTTTTCCACTAATGGATCAATCTTAATATCTAAGCATGCTTATCTCTCTTTGACCTTCAAAAACAATTAGTTTATTTTCCTTCTCCACTTTCCATCCAGCTATTTTCATATTTTTCACCTCTCTTTTACAATAAAACTTCTTGAAAACATACCTGCCATGGCAGAGTTGTCATCCGGTATCCATTCGTTTCTTCTTTAATATAGACCTGAGCCACCAAAAATAAAACACATTCTTGCCAATGGGGTGTGGTGGAAATGGTCTGTGCAACCCCTTGGTAATATCTTTTCATTAAGAAAGCTCTTTCTTCGCTGGTCCTTCCTTCCTTACTTCTGGGTGGAATGTGGGAAAAATGATTGGAGTTTTAATAACTATCATGTACAATGATATTACTTTGGCAACGGAAATAATAGATGGTGGAACAAGATAGAAGACTGAATTTCCACTAGCCTGGCATCCTACCATCTTGGAATATCTCCAATATCATAATCTGGGAGATAAATAAATATTTCGATTTTGTTTTCTTTAAAAAAAAGGAAAAGAAATAATAATCCCAAATATGTAGGCAGCCAACAAGAGTTATTTAAAAATATATGGCCAAACTTGATCAAAATTCAAAGAGAAATAGAAAAATCCACAATTATTATCAGAGATTTTAATTTTTCTCTCATAATAATTTACAGGACAGGTGCACATAAAATCAATAAGAATATGGGAGACTTAAACAATACTATTAACTAGAATGACCTAATTGACATTTATATAAATTTTCCCCCAACAACAGCAGAATACACATTCTTTTGAGTATACATTTAACATTTGCCAGCATGTGTACATTATTCTGAGGACTAAAACAAGGTTTCATAAATTAAAAATATTCAAGTCATGAAAATATATCCTCTGACTGTATTAGTATTAACATAGAAATCAATTACAAAGATATCTGAAAAACTCTCAAATATTTTGAAATACAATAATATTCATAAAGGAAAAACAAAGGGAAATTATATTTTAAACTGATTAAAAGTAAATATTTCAAACATCAATTGTGAAGCATATTACTAGAGGTATGTCACCAATTATTTCAAATGAGAACTAAAACACAATAGAAAAAAGTCAATAAAGACAAAGTTGATTTTTTGGATAGATCAATATAATTGATTAAGCTGTTAGCAAGACTAATCAAAAAGAAAAAGAAAAGGTAGGGAAATTTGTTATTAAAAGAATATTTAGAGAAATTTAAAAAATAATCTGAAGATATTAAAAACCACTTGTATTATAAATTTGACAATTAAGATGATATAAATTCTTTCAGAGACATAAGATTATAGAGCTCATTAAATAAAAAATAGACAACCTGAATAGCCCTGCTTTTGATTCCATTTATTGAATTTGTAGGTAAAAACCCTCTCATAAAGAAAATCTAGGCCCAGATAGCTTCATTGATACGTTCTCTTAAATATTTTAAAATGAAATAATATCAAGTTAACAAAAATACATTCAAAAATTGAAGATAATAATTTTTACTCATTACATGAGATCAGAATTGTCTGAAAACATGACCAGATAAATTTATTACAAGAAAATTAAAATACAGATGAATTATTTTTTAAAAACATATTGGATTCAATTACATATAAAACAGAGAATATGCCATTATAAGTGGATTTATCCCAAGGGCATGATGTGGGTTTCACATTAAAAGTTCAATTACTATAATTTACTAAATTAACAGTCATTAATAAATACATAGTTTTATCAACAGATGCATAAAAATCATTTGACAAATCCAACATTGATTTCCTATTTAATTTAAAAAAAACTTTCAACAAACTAGAAATTAAAGGCAAACTCTTCACTAATGTAAAGGACATCTATGAAAAACCTAAAATCAGAGACAAGGCAATTATGTACCTTCTCACTATATGTATTGAGCATTGTTACAGAAGTTTTAGTCACTGTAATCATGCAAGTAAAACATTTGTCATATAAAGTGGTAAGAAAGATATAAAACTTTTTTATTCATAAACTACATAATCTGTGTAGAAAATTCTACAAAATCTAAATATTCTGTTATTAAAAAATAAGTTTAGCCAAGATGCAATATATACATATTAATTATTTTTATACACTTACAATGAAATATTGTAAATTGAAATCAAACAATACTATTTCCAATGTTATCAAAAATACTAACTACTAAGGATAACTCTCATAAAGATGTTTAAGACTTGTACACTAAAAATTGCAAAAATAAATTACTGAAAATTAAGAAGGCTTAAACAAATAGAAAAATATACCATAATCATGGATTGGAGACCCCAAAATTGTTAGGATTTCAACTATTTATAAGCTGAGATAAAGATTTAATGCAATCTCAATTTTTTTCGCATTAAATTAATTAGCAAATTAAAAAGAGTTAAATAGACAATTTTGATAAAAATTGGAAGACTTTCACCATATGGTCTTAAATTTTATTTTAAAGGTTATCTGGTATCAAGAAAGAATAGAAAGTTCAGAGATTGATCTGTAGAAAGGCAGATAGATAATAGATAAGTATACATATAAATATATAAACACACACCTGATTTTCAACAAATATGCGAAGTACTTTATTGGAGAAAAACTTATCTTTTTGACATATGGTTCTGGAATAAAAATTGCTTAAATAAAACACTAAAGGCATAATCCTTAAAATTTAAAAATGATAAATTGAACTTCAAAAAAATAAGAACTGCTCTATGAAAGACATTATTGAGAGTATAGAAAAACAATCCACAGACTGAGAGAAAGTATTTAAAAATGATATATCTGTTTAAGGTTAGGTATCCATAAAAGAACTCTAAAATCTCAATTAAAAAATTTAGAATATGGGGATAATTTTGGGTACACACTTCAGCATAAAAGATGTATGAATTGCAGATAATGCCATTAGAAACTGCTCAACATCATGTCATTATGTAATCAATAAAGGCAAAAAAAATTTAACAAAATTTGATATTCATTCATTTTATTTAAAAAATATTATTTGCCAAAGTAAGAAGAGACAAGACTCTTTTTAAATTTGAAAATCTACCAAGCTAGCAGCAAATATCATATTTCAAAATATAGAAACATTTTTATTGAATTACAAAGAAATATTGCCTCATTTTTCCTACTGTTTATCAACATATTACTAAAAGTCAATACATGAAGACAGATAACATAAACAAACATCAGGATGGTTGAAAATTAAGAAACAAAATTTTACTTGTTGATCATATAAGCTTCTTTAGACAAACTACGAAAACTAAAGAGTAGCTGGCTATACATCCCTATATAAAACTCAATAGCATTTTCTTGGCCCAGGCAATAACGGTATTAATGATGTAGTATAAACTGTCTCATTTATGATTATTGTAAGATATCTATAATATGCTTGATGACAATTATTTGAAAGCTTTAACCTAATATTACAAATTAACTGAGATAAACAGGTAAAACAATTGACCTGGAGTGAAAACTTAGAAATAGACCCAAACATAAGGGGTTGCCTTAAATTTAAATAGAAAAACAATTGACTCTTCTTAATGTCCTTTTTACATATACAAAAGTAAAATAAATTTATTACTTCACTCTTTACATCTTTAATATATTATAGATGGAAATCCATATAAGATATGTAAAGACACACTAAATTAAGAAAAGTGCTTTTAAATTTAACTGTATCAAAATGTAAACTAAGATGTAATATGATGCCATGCATATCATTTACAAGTTACTCACTGATAAAACAAGTTTTTGCAATATAAATTAAAGTTTTGCAAAATAAATTAAAAAATAAGATCCAGAAGGGATAAATAATCAGTATAATGAAAATAAATACTCTTTAGAAAATAGAAGGGGATGAAAAGGCAATCTGCACAAAGAAGTGAATGTCACTAAATAGATTTAAAAATATACATGATTAAAATACTCTACATTATTAGTTACTGACTTGATGAAACAAAACTACATTTGAGTTTTATGCTTATTAAACTAATTAAATTTGAGTGAGTAAAAGAGTTTTTTTTTTATTTCTTTAAAGAGTAGGAAAAAGATAAATAAAGAACATAAAACCAGAGATCTCAGAAAACTATGATAGAAACAAACAGAGAAAGCTTGCAATAAGAAAACAGAATGTCATGGGTCAACAGGAATAATATTTCAGAAATCTAGGACAATATAATGGACACAAGCAATAATATTTTTGTATTACAGTATTTTAAAATAAATATGAAATATATAATCATTGAATTGTCTTTTTTGTTCTCTTAGACTAGTCTAAAAGAAAACTTTGCAATCAAAGAATGATTTTATGGTAAAATTCCAGCAGAAACAAATAGAATAAAGAAAATCCATCTGCCATAATAAGGTTTGCATAAAAATTTCAGTTACAAATTAGAATTGTGAAAAATTATTTTTATGTAAAATATATAAAGTTCTTCACCTTTTACAGAACAAAGACATGATTGCTTCAATTAAGGTTTTTGAGAGGTTCTTTATTTTTGATGCCCATATAGTTTATCATTGTTTAAATTTCCAATTGGGATATTAGTTCTATAATAAATGTATTAATATAAAAATGCACAAATTAATAGATAAGTAGGCATTCCTTATTAAGGCATATATCTCCCACTTATCCTAGAAGAGGATTTACCTATGCTCACATAAGTATGATGTATACATATTTATATTGTATATATGTAGATTAAAATCTATATTTTAATATTTGGCTTTAGTATATTTTTATGAATATATGATTATCACACACTTCCAAAAATCTGCAGGCATATTATAAGATTCTAAAACTCTGTATGTTCTTTCTTGGATAGAATTTTTGACATCAATAAGGCTGGATAATTAAATACTATCCCTGAGGACTGCGCTTTAGGAGTGCCTGGAAAGTGCAGTTGATTTACTTTAGGGACTTTTGATAATTCAGAACAAAATATGTTTAGTTAGGATGTGCATAATATTGAAGTACAGTGAGCTGTTATCCAAATCCACATATGTAGAGAGATCTGCAGCCTCTCTTTACATGTATGTAACTGCAAAGCAGGGAAAACCTGACCAAAAGAGTCAAACATTAGCTCATTCTTCCTGCTTTTTAGTACATATGAACTCCTTATTAGGTGTTTCATAATGTGCAAAGATAAAAGAGAAACATTTCATTTCCTCCATTGAGTTTATTGAAGATATGTATCTTCTTTACTCACAGGGGAGTTTATGAAGTAGAAGAGAAATGAATCAATGGCCAATATGTCTTGGTTATATACTGTAACATTGTATCAACCTGATGGCCACAATTTACTAGTATCATGAGCAGTTCTGAGAGAGGGATTAGGAAAACTCTATGAAACCAAAGCCATAGTGGTCTGGGTGGTTTGGATATATTTTGAGCTTAGATATGTTTCACAGTCAGAAAAATAGGATTTAATGGTAGGCTGAAAGTGGACTAGGTATAAGGGAAAGGTAAGTGGCCAGGGTAAATCTAAGGACTTTAGCCTAAGTGAATTAGGACAAAAGACTGATGGCTACAGGATGAGTCTTTACATATCTTTACACATTTTTATATTAAAACAAATGAGGCTACATTATAAAGTATGATTTAAAATGTCATAATTATTGTTTTACTCTGAAACAAGAGATTTCTAAGATGTTTTGAGTTGTGTAATGATCATTTTAGGACAGATCAAATTTCCAGTAGATGTTCAAACATTCTCTTTTATTTAATCATTTCTTGAAAAGGTTGAGAACCACTTCGATGTAACACTTTATAGAAAAAAGGATTCTTCTGATTCACACTGATTTTATGTTTTAAAATTTTCTACATAAATCATTAGGGAATAACTTATCCCATATCTTCTTCTAAGGTTTCTATTCAAAATGATCTTATTTATAGGTCAATATATGTAACATATGTAGTTTGAATTCAATATCCAAATGAATTCAACACACATTACCTAGTAGTGTGACACTGACAAGATTTACAGGAGAAGATGAGGCACAGCTTCATCTTTTGCAGGTATATATGTAATTTTTAAAAGTCACGTATATTTCTGATATTAATATAGTTTTATAACCAATCTTCTCCACGCTTTTTCCTCAGAAAGAAAAAAAAGCAACTGGGAAAATGAAAATAAATCAATGAAATAAAAAATATACTGTAAATTCCTTTTTCAATAAACTCTGGAGCAAATATAATGCATAATGGACACAGTGAGATGCCACTGAAGTCAAACTAAAGAACTAATTTCTCCAGTTCTGGGCTACTCACAATTCAACTCTCCTAGAATTGCCCTCTGCTAAAGGGTGTTGTCTTAATCAAATTTACAACCCACTCATGGCAGTTTAACTTCTCCATCTGCCAAATCCTACTACTCTGACCTCCTTAAAGATATTATTCCCCAAAGCATTTCCTAGTAAACTTTCTGCATGCAAATATAGATGTGAGTCTGTTTCCTAGGGAACCTAACCTGAGACAGTTGGAACAAAATTGTCCCTATTATGCAGGTTCTAAAAATGGGATGCAGGAACTTTACCGCCTATTGTCTGCCTAGCAATGGAAAAGGACCTCATAATTGGCTGAAGGTGGCCATCAGAGAAATGCAAATCAAAACCACAATGAGATACCATCTCACACCAGTTAGAATGGCAATCATTAAAAAGTCAGGAAACAGCAGGTTCTGGAGAGGATGTGGAGAAATAGGAACACTTTTACACTGTCAGTGGGACTGTAAACTGGTTCAACCATTGTGGAAGACAGTGTGGTGATTCCTCAAGGATCTAGAACTAGAAATACCTGACCCAGCCATCCCATTACTGGGTATATACCCAAAGGATTATAAATCTTGCTGCTCTAAAGACACATGCGCACATATGTTTATTGAGGCACTATTCACAATAGTAAAGACTTGGAACCAACCCAAATGTCCATCAATGATAAACTGGATTAAGAAAATGTGGCACATATACACCATGGAATACTATGCAGCCATAAAAAATGATGAGTTCATGTCCTTTGTATGGGCATGGTTGAAGCTGGAAACCATCATTCTCAGGAACACAAATAATCTTTAGCAAGCTCGAATGGTGCAATTGCTAAACTGTAGTAGCTGGTGGTAAAATGGGGCAGCATACTGAGGAAACAGAATGCTCTGGTAGGTCCCATATCTCAGGCATTTGAGATGTTTACGGGAAGGAGTAATTATAAGAGTAAGAAATTAGATGGCTATTTCTGAAGTTTATCAAGTCATTGGAGAAAGACAACAAAAGGCTGAGGGAGATTTAATACTTATTTTTGGGAAAGAATGAAACCAGAATATTTTCTTAGTAGCATACAAAGAATCATTTATCTCCAGCTGATGGAGCAGTGATAATGCTAGGATCAGGCTCTCGACTTTTAATTTGAATTGAAGCATAGCTCCAGAGAAAGTTGAATTATAAACCTTAGCAAGTACGCTACACTGTTAGGGAAGAACCTCTCCTTCCGTGGACATTCCTATTGATGTTCTTAAAAATGTTAAATCCTTAGATTCCCTGAAGATTCTGTGCCTGCTAACACAACAGTGACTCAGTCACTGCACTTCCTCATTGCTGGAAGATAACGAAAATACCTTCATATGGCAAAACAAAACATACTTCTCAACAGCTAATCTCCGAATCCATCCCAACTTCTTTCTTGGTCAACAAACCAATAATCAGAGTAAATTTAGAATGCAATCTGGCCACACAGAGCCTGGATCTGTCACAGGAGGAAAGGAAGTACTCCTCAAAGGAGCCAAAAGGTCTAATGACCCAAACCAGAAGATCCTGAAGAGAATATGTGCCTGCATCCTCAGAGTGGTATGGAAAAAAGAGCAGAAAATAATATTTGCCAAGAGAGAGTTCATTGATATGTGAAACAGGATATAACACCCTAAAAAGGACTCCAGAAATAGTGCTAAGATGTTGCTGAAATGATTCTTAGAGAGTTGAGTACATAATGGTTCAAAGAAGGTGAGTAGAAAGACCAGACCTTTCATTGAAGACAATTGAGGAGGGGATCAAAAGACTTAGAGAAATGAACATGTAAGACTTGAAATACTGTACAGAAAATCTACTCTATTCATTTTCCAGAACTGCCATAACAAAGAACCACAAACTGGTTTTCTTACACAGCAGACATTGATTTTCTCATGATTCTCTCATTTGAAGTCCAATAATAAGAGGTCAGCAGATTTGTTTCCTCCTAAGGGCTCTGAGAGAATCTGTTCCATCATCTCACCTAAGTTTCTGGTAGTCTGCTGGAAATCTGACATTTCTTGGCTTGCAAAAGTACCACTCTGATCTCTGCCTTCATCTTCACATAGCTTTCTCTCTGTGTGTATGTCTATTTTCAAATTTCCCTTATTTTTAAGAGCATCGCTTATATTGATTAGAGAATCACCCTATTCAGTATGACCTCACATCTTAACTAACTATATGTGAAATGACCCTATTTTTTAAAATTGTGGGTGCATGGTAATTTTTGAATAATATTACTTTTTTTTTTTGAGACGGAGTCTTGCTCTGTCGTCCAGGCTGGAGTGCAGGGGCGGGATCTCCGCTCACTGCAAGCTCTGCCTCCCGGGTTCATGCCATTCTCCTGCCTCAGCCTCCCGAGTAGCTGGGACTATAGGTGCCTGCCACCACGCCTGGCTAATTTTTTTGTATTTTTAGTAGAGACGGGGTTTCACCATGTTAGACAGGATGGTCTCAGTCTCCTGACCTCGTGATCCGCCCGCCTCCGCCTCCCAAAGTGCTGGGATTACAGGCCTGAGCCACCGCGCCTGGCCAAATAATGTTACTTTTGTATGTACAGGGAGTGAGGATTTCAACATATAAATCTTGAGGGGACATGATTCAACAGGTAAACACCTACCACCTGACTATAATCTGCAAGAGGACCTCAAAAGCCCTCCACTTTACCACTTGATAAAAGAGATGATAATAAATAAAATAGATATCAGTATCAGTTAAAAAATTAGTAGTAGTTAGGGCTGACAGAAGATAATGTTCCAGAACTGGACTTCCCTTAATCAATGGAGATAATAGGAGCCCAATATGATAAAAACCGACAGGAATACTTAACCGTCAGAAGTAAGGCAATTATTGTAATAAACTGCAAGGTCAAAATAGTAGTCAAAAGGCTCTAACTCTGAGATCTTCATAGATAATCAACAAAACATGGGGTTTTAAGAAACAATATTGATGGACAGCAAGTCCTTTGCATAATTAACTAACGAAGGGTAGAATATCAGAAGACTGAAGGCAATTACCACAATTAATTAGCTATTACCACTTGTGTAATTTTAGGACCCTAAAGAGTTTTCAGATTTGGAACTCATTGTCTGAATGAGAGGCTCATTTATAACGTTGGGTGTATAAGGCCTCAAGAGCAGAGCTCAAGAAACAGAATCTGTCCAATTTTCTCCTGGCCTCTTGCCCGCCCTAAGGCAGGATTCTAACCTCCCTTGCCTTTCTGATTGTGGGTCATAAGATGCTCCTCAGAGAGGATCCCCATTCTATACCTTGGGGGAAGAAATGTTGACCTTATGACACTTCCATAAAAACTCAAGAAGACTAGGTTTAGAAAGCTTCTGGATAGATAAACACATGGAGGTTCCTGAAGGCTGGCTCACCCACGGACAGCATGGAAGCTGAGTGCCCCTTTCCCAATACCTCACTCTACACATCTCTTCGTTTGTATCATTTGCAACATCCTTTATAATAAACTAGTAAATATAAGTGTTTCTGTGAAATAAAGACGGGGTCATGAGAACTCATGTTGAAGTTAGAATTTTCAGAGGCCTGGACTTGCTACCGTTGTCCAGTGGCAGGGTAGAGTGCAGTCTTGGGGACTGACGTATCAATCCATGGGATCTAACACTATGTCCAGGTAGATAGTGTTGGAATTAAATTGGAGGAAACCCAGCTGGCGTCCGCTGCTTGTTGTGTGGGGAAAATGCCTCACACATTTGGTCACAGAAGTCTTCCTCTGTGTTAATGATTGCTGTAGTGGTGTGAGAACAAAGAAACATACTTTGAGAGCTTTCCTGAAATACTTGGTTTATTATATTACCTAACTTAACCTTGATTTTTTCATGAGTAGAATTTATATTTACATATCCATCTAATATATTGTGATGATAACATAAGCCATGTAAAGTATGGTGACTAGCATAAAGTAATCACTCATCAAATAGTAAGGGTAGCATTATAATCATAAACTATTTAAAAGTTTGGCTAAAAAAGAAAAAAATACTTACAGTTGCTATAATCAAATATGCCAGTTGTTTAAAAATTCAGCTAAATGAGTCATTAGGGAGAACAAAAAAATAAGAAAAAAAACAAATTTTCCAAGTACTTATAACAGAATTTTGCTGATGTGATAAAATACCCTCCCCTGTCCCCTGTCTCTGTCTCTCTTTCTCTGTCTTCAAAGCAACATTTACCTAGGGCAATGTCTTTAGTTTTTTTTTTTCTGAAATATTTTACTTTATAAGGAAAAACACAAGACTGCTCCCAGATGTTAAAATTCTCAGGCATATAAATTTTCATTCATCTTCAGCATTAATTTATGTCTAAGCCTTTACAAACTTTTTTTTTTTGAAGACAGAGTCTGGCTCTGTCGTCCAGGCTGGAGTGCAGTAGCACGATCTCAGCTCACCACAACCTCCAACTCCAGGGTTCAAGCGATTCTCCTGCTTCAGCCTCCTGAGTAGCTGGGATTACAGGTGCCCACCACCATGCCTGGCTAATTTTTGTATTTTTAGTAGAGATGGGGTTTCACCATGTTGGCCAGGCTGTTCTCGAACTCCTGACCTCAAGTGATCCACCCGCCTTAGCCTCCCAAAGTGCTGAGATTACAGGCATGAGCACCGTGCCTGGACCTAAACGCATTTAAATAAATTTATTTTGTTTTCATTAATTTTGTATTTTTTAATGTAACTTGCACATATGAACTTTACCACTTGTAAAGAAAAACTAGAACATAGCACTAAAATTCCTCAGCTCTCTATTCCTGTGTTCCCCTCCATCTTATGCTAACTGCCTTTCTTCCAAGCTAACAACCACCATGGACTAGATATGTTTTACTTCCATGATTCTAAAGTTATATTTGTTATTTTTTTAAATTATTTTTAAAGAGTTAATTTGGTTGTGATTTTTTTCGTCCTGCCTCAGGGATGCTTGAATAAAGTTAACCTTTAGTCACATTTTTTGTAGAGTCATCTAAAGGTATATATTCATTGGGAGGCTTTAACTGTGATCTATGTACTAATTAATGAGTATGATAGTCCCTCCTTATCCACAGTTTTGCTCTCCATGGTTTCAGCTACCCACTTTACAGTACAGTAAGATGTTTTGAGAGAGAAAGTGAGAGATCACATTCAAATAACATTTTGTAGTATATTGTTATAATTGTTCTCTTTTATTATTAGTTATTATTATCAGACAAATAATTCCTAATAATAGGTAATGCCTATTTTGTTATTAGTTATTATTGTTAGGCAAGCAAGTAAGTTCTTCCTTGTCTAATTTATAAATTAATTTAATTTATAAGCATGTATAGGAAAAATCATAGTATATAGTAGGGTTCTGTACTGTCCACAGAACCAGGTGTTGATATCATAAGTACATATGGGATAAAATATGATAAAGTTCTGTACTGTCTGTAGTACCAGGTATTTACTAGGGGGTCTTCAAAAGTATTTCCCACAGGTAAGGGGACTACTTTACTGGAATGCCTCTAGAAGTGCTGTTATCGGGATTATGTATTGTGGAAATGTGGATTTTGAGTGCACTAACAAATGGCAGCATAGCATCTGCCTCTCCAGGTGACAATGACTTGAGTAAATTAAGCTGAGTCAACCTAAAATTTTCAGTTCCCTTTGTCACTTGAGACCTAGACTTACATGTCAGTTCTTGTCATCATCCATGAAAACAAATTCATCCTATAGGATGTTTGGGGACATCAGGTGTCACATCTGGGTGATTAAAACTTCCACGATCCTGCTGCTGTGAATGATGCTATATCCTTTCCTAAACATAACTTAGTGCTAAGTTTGCCTATTGTGTCTACTGAGTTTGATTGGAAATCCAATCTAGAAATCCACTCTAGTGGCCATATAGTGACTTACATTACAATTATAATTGTTTTTAAACAATTATAATGATATAGTGCCTTACATTATAATCATTGATTGTTTGTAAACATTAGAGCAATAAATAAATGTATACATCTATAAAGCATTCATTTGTATTGCTTTGTAATACACCTGTGCATGAGTGTGCCTGTGTGTGTGTGTATGTGTGCTTGGAAAGAAAGAGAGATAAAGACAGAACATTGTATAGTTATCTAGATATACATATAAACATTGGAGTTGTTTGTGAACAGTAATGCTATGCACATTAATTTGTCTGTTTCCGGAAATCTAGATATTCAAATTTGTATCAGGTATATAACTAGGAGTAGAATAACTGGGTTTTAAGGTATGTAAACCTTGAAGTTCTCTAGATATAGCAAACTGTCTTTCAAGGTGGGTTTTTACTATATTACTAATAATACAAAAAGAATTATATTGAGCAGCATTCTCTTCAATACTTCATATTGTCAGACATCATAATTACATGAATGGAAGTGGTTGAAAAATGATACTTCATTTTGGTTTAGATTTCACACTTCCATGATTACTAGCATGGTTGAGCTTCTCATCATAAATCTATTGCTGTTTTTTCTCTTTTATGATATGTCTAGTCTTGCCTTTTGTTCGTTTTATTATATAGCTAATTATTTTAATTAGATTACAAAATTTGTCTCTATATATTTGAGGCTAATCCTTTATCATAGATATATTGAATATATATAATTTTTCAATTCATGACTTGTCTTTTTTCAAAGACTTTATTCTTTTAGAGAAGCAAAATCAAGGAAGGTACAAATATTTCCCAAATACTCTCTGCCCCCACACATCCATAGTCATTTCCATTTTCAACTTCCCCCATCAGAGTCATGCTTTTTGGAATTGATGACCCCAATTGCTATGTCATTATGAATCAAAGTTTACAGTTTAAATTGGGGCTCACCCTTTGTCTTATACATTAGGTTTGGACAAATATATGATAACTTGCATCCATTATCCATGTACAATGGCATGTATCATTACAGTGTCATACAGAACATTTTCACTGCCCTAAATATCCCCTGTGTTTGACCTACTCACCCTTCCCTCAACCTGCCATGTGGAAACCACTGTTGTATTTACTAGTTCCATGATTTCATCTTTTCCAGAATGTCATATTGTTGGAATCATACAGTATGTAGCCATTTCAGATTGGCTTCTATCACTTAATAATATGGATTTATGTTTCATCCATGTCTTTTCATGGTTTGAAAGTTCATTTTTTAGTACTAAATAATATTCCATTTTTTGATGTACCACAGTTTATTTATCCAGTTAGTTACACTGTATGCCTCAGTTGCTTACAAGTTTTGACAATTATGAATAAAGCTAATATAAATCTTGGTGTGCAGGTTTTTGTGTGGATGTGTGTTCTCAACTGCTTTAGGTAGATACCAAGGAGCACAACTGCTGGATCATATGGCAGGAGTATGTTTAGTTTTGCAATGTGGCTTGTCTTTTCACATCTTTTATGATGCCTAATAATTAAATGTATATTTTTTATTCAAATGTAACCATGTCTATTAATCTTTTATAAGAGATAGTTCGGTGATTTAAAAAATATCTACTTTACTTCAAAGTTTAAAAAATACTCTCTTAGATTTTCTTGTAAGTTTTATTTTTCCTTTTCCTTTTGATATTTGAGTTTCTGTCAGTCTGCAGCTACATTTTTTGTCTGAAGTAAATCAGGAGATTTTATTTCATTTCTATCATGTTGATACTGAATTTTTACAACTTCATTTATTGAATAGAAACTCCTTCACATCAACCTGATATTTATTATTGGCTAGATAACCACGTTCTATGTATGTAAGCTTTTACCTCTAGGATCTCTTTAATGTCCAGTGATTATTATTTCATTCCATTTGACAATGTCTTCATTCCAAGTGACATGTTTTTAAAACTATGACCAGATGTTGAATTTTATCAAATATGATTTCTATAACAACTGTAATTAACATATGTTTTTGCCTTAATGTAATAAACATATTTAAAGCTTTCCTAGCTTTAAACTGTATTTTTATTTTTGAGAATTAATTTGACTATATTAGTTTCATTTTAATATTGGACAATTACTACTTATATATTCACAATAATATGCTTGAGCTTATAATTTCCTTCAGGATCCCTGCTATGCTGTCATTCACTGGAAGCAGCCTGTGACCTCCGGGCAAATCAGTGATCTTTGCAGTGTACAGCAGGTAGAGTTATTGATAAATTATGCTACTGCAGAAGGAGAGCTGAGTGGTGAATTTTTATAGCTGCCAAAGAACAAATAAAAACATAAGTTTCATTATACTTTTTAGATAAACAACTATTTGACTTAATTGATTTTTCTCTATATTGTTTTAAATTCTCTAATTAATCTTATTTTTTTCTACTTATGTTAAGGCTTAATGTTTTCTAGATTCTTAGGGGAAAAAATAATAGATGTCAGATTATTCTCCATTTAAATATATGTAATTATATTTCCTTTTATTCACTGCCTTAGCTGCTTTTTACAAGTTTTGATATGGTATGCTTTAAATATTACTCAGTTCTAGGTATGTTTTTATTTTCTTTTACTTCATATTTGAACCATGAATTATTAAATATAAAGTTCATTTGAGATTGTTAGATATATTTATTGATTTTAATTTATTTATATTATATCATCATAAGAAAACATTCCATTTTCATAAAATTTTTGATGCTTGTCCTACAGCTTATGGTCTTTACTGGTTACCATACAACATATATTTGAAATGTTTTCTGAACTTTCTGAATACATCGATGTTTGAATGCCTCTTTCAGTTATTTAATTTTAGCTTACCTCTGTCGAATGTAAATATGTAAATATAATTAGACAAAATAACATCGCTTTGAAACAGGATAAAGATGAGTCTTACTTTTTACTTATTATTATGCAATTCTCTGCCTCTTAATTGGATTTTAGTCCATTAATATCTAATGTTATTTGCTTTAAGTTGATTTTGTGGGGTTTTTGTTGCCTTTACTTCTTTTCTTTTTCCTTACTTTCAGCTTTTTAAATTATTATATTTTTATAGAGTTCCATTTTGATTTCTATACTGGCTGTTTTAAACAGTTTTATTCAAATATAATTGAGATATAACAAATTAAATATGATTGATAACTTTGAAATAAATTTGATACTTGTGAAACTATCACCAAAATCAAAATGACTGTATCTAATATTTTATAAATGTTCCCATTGGCCATACAATTATTCCCTACTACATCTCCTCATGCCCCCCATTTCCCCCAGGCAAACATTATCTGCTTTCTGTTACTATACATTAGTTTCAATTTTCTAGAGTTTTATTATCAATGGAATTATACAGTATTTTTTGTTATTGTCTTGCATGTTTCTTAAGCCTAATTTCTTTTACTCAGCATAATTATTGTGTGACCTTCATGCTGTAGAGTATGTCAATAATGCATTCCTTCTTATGGTTAGGCAGTATTCTATTGGGTTGATGCACAGGTTTGTTTATTATTCACCTGTTAGTGAACATTTCCCTTATCCATCATTTTTGCCTACTATCAATAAAGCTGCTGTGCATATTTATGTGAAGTATTTATAGGGATCTATGCTTCCATTTCTCCTGGATAAATAACTAGTTATGTAACAGCTAGATTATAACTAGATATATGTTTAACCTTTTAAGAAATTACCAAACTGTTTTGCTAAGTGTTTATACCACTTTATAGCAACAGTGAGTGAGGGTTACAATTACTCTGAATTCCTTGACAACAGTTAGTCTTTTTCATTTTAAACATTCCAATATGTAAAGAAATATATTTCATCATGGATTTAATATGCAACTTTCTAATACCCAATGATATTGGGTATAACTAAATGACATTGAGACAAAAAATGATATAAAGAATCAACGGAATGAAAACCCAGTTATCTGAAAGGATAAACAAAATTGATAGACCACTGGCTACTTTAACCAAGGAAAAAGAGAGGATATTTAAATAAGTACAATCAAAATTATAAAGATGACATCACAACTGATACCCCAGAAATACAAAAGATCATCAGTAATTACTATGAATATCTCTATGTGCATAAACTGTAAAACCTAGAGAAAATACATAAATTCCTGAAAACATACAACCTCCCAAGATTGAACCAGAAAGAGACAAATTCTGGACAGGAGTAATAAGTGATGAAATTGAATCAGTCATAAAAAAACTTCCACCCCACCTGCACATGTACTCCTTGAAGATCAACAGATTCACAGTCAAAGTTTACCAGACATACAAAAACAAGCTGGTAAAAATCTTCCTGGAACTATTCTAAAAAACAAAAGAGGAGGGTTTCCTCTTTATCTCATTCTATAAAACTGGTATCATTTTGCTACCAAAATCAGGCAAGGACACAGTAACATAAAAGCAAACTATAGGCCAGTATCCCTGATGAACATAGATGCAAAATCCCCAACAAAATACTGGCAAACTGACTCCAACAGCACATCAAAAACTTAATTCACTATAATGAAGTAGGTTTTATTCCAGGGATGCAAAGATCTTTCAACATTAGCATATCATTAAATGTGATTCAATAAACATAATAATAACTAAAACTATATGATCACATCAATAGATGCAGAAAAATACTTAATAAATTTTAAAAATCCCTTATGATAAAAACCCTCAACAAAGTGAGCATAGAAGGAACATACCTCAAAATGATAAGAGCTAATTATGACACATCCACAGCCAACATCATACTGAATGGAGAAAGGTTGAAAGCATCCCACCTAAGAAATGGAACAAAACAAGGATGTCCACTCTCACTACTCCTATTTAACATAGTACTAGAAGTCCTGGCCAGACCATTTTAGCAAGAGAAAGAAATAAAAAACATTCAAATTGGAAAAGAGAAAGTTAAATTATCTTTGTTCACTAATGACATAATCTTATACCTATAAATCCTAAAGAGTCTTCCGAAAGACTCCTAGACTTGATAAATTACTTCAAAACAATTCCAGAATACAAAATCAACATACAAAAATCAGTAGCATTTTTATATGCCAGTAACATTCAGGGTGAGAATCAAATCAAGTACTCAATCCCATTTGTAATAGTCACAAAAAATATCTAGACATAAATCTGACAAAGGAGGTAAAATGTCTCTACAAGAAGAACTACGAAACATTGGTGAAAAAAATTATAGATGGCGCAGACGAATGAAAAAAACATTTTATGCTCATGGATTGGAAAACTCAATGTCACTTAAACGACCACATGGCCCAATTCAATCTGCAGATTAAACAGGATCCCTAAGAGTTACCAATGACCACTGTCATTATTCACAGGATTGGATAAAACAATTCTAAAGTTGATATGAAGAGCCCAAATATCCAAAGCAATTGTAAGCAAAAAGAATAAAGCTGAAAGAATCACATTCTCTTACTGCAAATAATACTATAATGTTATAGTAACTAAAACAGTACTGTACTGGTACAAAAATAAACACATAGACAAAAGGAACAGAATAGAAAACTCAGAAGTAAAGCCACCTATGTACAACCAACTGATCTTTGGCAAAGTTGACATAAATAAGCAATGCAAAGAGATACTTTATTCAATAAAACGTGCTGAGGAAATTAGCTAGCCATAGGAGAAGAGTGACACTGGGCCTCTATTTCTTACCATATACAAAAAGTAGTGCAAGATGGATTAAAGACATCAGTGTAAGACCTGAAAATGTGTAAACCTCCTATCGTTGGCCTAGGCAAAAATTTATAACTAAGATCCCAAAAGCAAATGCAACAAAAACAAAAGTGGGCTGGGAGTGGTGGCTCACACCTGTAATCCCAGCACTTTGGGAGGCCAAGGTGGGTGGATCACGAGGTCAGGAGTTCGAGACTAGCCTGGCCAACATGGTGAAACCCTGTCTCTACTAAAAAAACAAAAATTAGCTAGGCATGGTGGTGGGCGCCTGTAATCCCAGCTACTCAGGAGACGAGGCAGGAGAATTGCTTGAACCCGGGAGGTGGAGGTTGCAGTGAGCTGAGATCGTGCCACTGTACTCCAGCCTGGGCAACAGAGTGAGACTCCACCTCAAAAATAAATAAACAAATGGACAAATGGGACTTAATTAAATTTAAAATTTTTTCTGCAGCCAAATAAAGAAAAGATCAACAAATAGACAACCTACATAATGAAAGAAAATATTTGCAAAGTATGCCTCTGATAACGAATTAATGTACAGAATATAAAATGAACTAAAAAAACTCAAGCAAAGAAAGCAATCCCATTAAAAAGTGGGCAAATGACATGAACAGGCATTTCTCAAAAGAAGACACACAAGTGGTCAACTAAAATGAAAAAAATGCTCAACATCACTAAGCGTTAGAGAAATGTAAATTAGAACCACAGTATCATCTTACATAGTCAGAAAGACTGTTATTACAAAGTCAATAAACGTCAGATATTAGCATAGATGCAGAGGAAAGGGTACCCTTATACACTGTTGATGGGAATGTAAATTAGTATAACCTCTATGGAAAACGGTATGAAGATTTCTCAAGGAACCAAAAATAGAACTATCATTTGACCCAGCAATCCCACTACTGAGCATCTACCAAAAGAAATAATTATGTCCAAAAGACACCTGCAGTCATGTTTATTGTAGTACTGTTCACAATACAAAGACATAAAATCAACCAAAGTGTTCACTAATGGTGGGTTGTATAAAGACGATGTAGTATATATCTACCACAGAATACTATGCAGTCATAAAAATAATGAAATTGTGGCCAGGCGTGGTGGCTCATACCTGTAATCTCAGCACTTTGGGAGGCCAAGGCAGGCGGATCACGAGATCAAGAGATCGAGACCATCTTGGCGAACATGGGTAAAACCCCATCTCTACTGAAAAAAAAAAAATTAGCCAGGTGTGGTGGCGGGCGCCTGTAGTCTCAGCTACTGGGGAGGCTGAAGCAGGAGAGTGGCATGAACCCGGGAGGCGGAGCTTGCAGTGAGCCGAGATTGCGCCACTGCACTCCAGCCTGGCGACAGAGCAAGACTCCGTCTCAAAAAAAAAAAAAAGAAATTGTGTCTTTTGCAGCAACATAGATGGAGCTGGAGGATGAATGGAGCCATTACCCTAAGTGAAATAACACAGAAACACTAATTCAAATACCACATTTTCTCACTAAAAGTGAGAGCTAAACAATAGGTACACATGGATGTAACGATGAAACTAATAGATACTGGGAAATCCAAAAGCAGGGAGAGAGAAGGAGGGGTGAGGATTTAAAAGATTACCTATTGTGTACAGTTTGCACTATTTAAAGGATGGTACACTGGAAGCTCAAACCTCACCATTATGCAATATATGCATGTGACGAACCTGCACATCTAAAATAAAATTTAAAGTCAAAAAATGAATACAGTTTTAACCTCTACTCAGCTTTTTAATACAGAGAGACTAAATAAAGATACTTAGATCTGTTAGTAAACATGTTCTGTATGACACTGAAAAATCATACTATGAGAAAGCAGATGCTTGTAGACAAAATGAAATGGTATTAAATTACAGAATGTTGGCATGTGACCATTCACGATTTATTGCTTCCTAGTTTTTACTAGAAATTAGAAGTACTAAAGGTTAAAAATTGTAATTAGGCCAGCCACGGTGGCTCACGCCTGTAATCTCAGCATTTTGGGAGGCCGAGGCAGGTAGATCACTTGAGGTCAGGAGTTTGAGACCAGCCTGGCCAACACAGTGAAACCTCATCTCTACTAAAAATACAAAAATTACCTGGGGATGGTGGCACATGCCTATAGTCCCAGCTACTTGGGAGGCTGAAACCAGAGAATCACTTGATCCTGGGAGGTAGAGGTTGTAGTGAACTGAGGTTGTGCCACTGCACTCCAGTCTTGGCAACAGAGTGAGATTCCTTCTCAAAAAAAAATTTGTAATTAATAGATGTAATTAAATTCACCTGAAATAATAATCAAAGCAACTTATATAAGCAAGTATATAAGAAAGGTAAGATGCATATTTTTGTAAAAAATAAAAATAAAAAAACTTTGAGGTATAAGGAACTGTTTTTCCCTTTTATTCTTTCTTTCTTTATTTATTTATATTTTTAATTATACGTTAAGTTCTAGGGTACATGTGCACAACGTAAAGGTTTGCTACATATGTATACATGTGTCATGTTGGTTTGCTGCACCCATTAACCCGTCATTTACATTACATATTTCTCCTAATGCTATCCCTCCCCTCTCCTACCCCACAACAGGCCCTGGTGTGAGATGCTCCCAGCCCCGTGTCCAAGTGTTCTCATTGTTCAATTCCCACCTATGAGTGAGAACATGTGGTGTTTGGTTTTCTGTCCTTGAGATAGTTTGCTGAGAATGATGGTTTCCATGTCCCTACAAAGGATATGAACTCTTCTTTTTCATGGCTGCATAGTATTCCATGGTGTATATGTGCCACATTTTCTTAATCCAGTCTATCATTGATGGACATTTGGGTTGGATCCAAGTCTTTGCTATTGTGAATTATGCCACAATAAACTTATGTGTGCATGTGTCTTTATAGTAGCATGATTTGTAATCCTTTGGGTATATACCTAGAAATGGATTTGCTGGGTCAAATGATATTTCTAGTTCTAGATCCTTGAGGAATCGCCACACTGTCTTCCACAATGGTTGAACTAGTTTACACTCCAACCAACAGTGTAAAAACATTCCTATTTCTCCACATCCTCTCCAGCACCTGTTGTTTCCTGACTATTTAATGATCGCCATTCTAACTGGTATGAGATGTTATCTCATTGTGGTTTTGATTTGCATTTCTCTATCAGAGAATGATGATGAGCATTTTTTCACGTGTCTGTTGGCTGCATAACTGTCTCCTTTTGAGAAGAGTCTGTTCATATCCTTCACCCACTTTTTGATGGGGTTGTTTGATTTTTTCTTGTAAATTTGTTTCAGTTCTTTGTAGATTCTGGATATTAGCCCTTTGTCAGATGAGTAGATTGCAAAAATTTCCTCTCATTCTGTAGGTTGCTTGTTCACTCTGATGGTAGTTTCTTTTGCTGTGCAGAAGCTCTTTAGTTTAATTAGATAACGTTTGTCAATTTTGGCTTTTGTTGCTTTGCTTTTGATGTTTTAGTCATGAAGTCCTTGCCCATGCCTATGTCCTGAATGGTATTGCCTAGGTTTTCTTCTAGGGTTTTTATGGTTTTAAGTCTAACATTTAAGTCTTTAAGCCATCTTGAATTAATTTTTGTATAAGGTGTAAGGAAGGGATCCAGTTTCAGCTTTCTACATATGGCTAGCCAGTTTTCCCAGCACCATTTATTATGTAGGGAATCCTTTCCCTATTTATTGTTTTTGTCAGGTTTGTCAAAGATCAGATGGTTATAGATGTGTGGTGTTATTTCTGAGGCCTCCGTTCTGTTCCATTGGTCTATATCTCTGTTTTGGTACCAGTACCATGCTGTTTTGATTACTGTAGCCTTGTAGTATAGTTTGAAGTCAGGTAGCATGATGCCTCCAGCTTTGTTCTTTTTGCTTAGGATTTTCTTGGCAATGTGGGCTCTTTTTTGGTTCCATGTAAACTTAAAAGTAGTTTTTTCCAGTTCTGTGAAGAAAGTCATTGGTAGCTTGATGGGGATGGCATTGAATCTATAAATTACTTTGGGCAGTACGGCCATTTTCATGAAATTGATTCTTCCTGTGATGAGCATGGAATGTTCTTCCATTTGTTTGTGTCCCTCTTTTATTTCGTTGAGCAGTGGTTTGTAGTTCTCCTTGAAGAGGTCCTTCACATCCTTTCTAAGTTATATTCCTAGGTATTTTATTCTCTTTGTAGCAATTGTGAATGGGAGTTCACTCATGATTTGGCTCTCTGTTTGTCTGTTATTGGCGTATAGGAATGCTTGTGATTTTTGCATATTGATTTTGTATCCTGAGACTTTGCTGAAGTTGCTTTTCAGCTTAAGGAGATTCTGGGCTGAGACGATGGGGTTTTCTAAACATGCAATCATGTCATCTGCAAACAGGGACAATTTGACTTTCTCTTTTCCTAATTGAATACCCTTTATTGCTTTCTCTTGCCTGATTGCCCTTGCCAGAACTTTCAACACTATTGAATATGAGTGGTGACAGAGGGTATCCCTGTCTTGTGCCAGTTTTCAAAGGGAACGCTTCCAGCTTTTGCCCATTCAGTATGATATTGGCTGTGGGTTTGTCATAAATAGCTCCTATTATTTTGAGATACATTCCATCAATACCAAGTTTATTGAGAGTTTTTAGCATGAAGTGCTGTTGAATTTTGTCAAAGGCCTTTTCTGCATCTATCGAGATAATCAGATAGTTTTTGTCTTTGGTTCTGTTTATGCCATGGATTATGTTTATTGATTGGCATATGTTGAACCAGACTTGCATCCCTTAGACTCTCACACAAAAATAATGGGAGACTTTAACACCCCACTCTCAATATTAGAAAGATCAATGAGACAGAAGGTTAACAAGGATATACAGGACTTGAACTCAGCTCTGCACCAAGTTGACCTAATAGACATCTACAGAGCTTTCCACCCCAAATCAACAGAATATACTTTCTTCTCAGCACCACATCACACTTATTCCAAAATTGACCACATAGTTGGAAGTAAAGCACACCTCAGCAAATGTAGAAGAGAAATCACAACAAACTGTCCCTCAGACCACAGTGCAATGAAATTAGAACTCAGGATTAAGAAACTCACTCAAAACTGCACAACTACATGGAAACTGAACAACCTGCTCCTGAGTGACTACTAGGTAAATAACGAAATGAAGGCAGAAATAAAGCTGTTCTTTGAAACCAGTGAGAACAA
Source organism: Homo sapiens (assembly GCF_000001405.40). Taxonomy (NCBI): domain Eukaryota; kingdom Metazoa; phylum Chordata; class Mammalia; order Primates; family Hominidae; genus Homo; species Homo sapiens. Next base: position 83,289,647 of record NC_000003.12, on the reverse strand, counting down.
AGACACAACGTACCAGAATCTCTGGGACACATTTAAAGCAGTGTGTAGAGGGACATTTATAGCACTAAATGCCCACAAGAGAAAGCAGCAAAGATCTGAAATTGACACCCTAACATCACAATTAAAAGAACTAGAGAAGCAAGAGCAAACAAATTCAAAAGCTAGCAGAAGACAAGAAATAACGAAGATCAGAGCAGAACTGAAGGAGATAGAGACACAAAACGCCCTTCAAAAAATCAATGAATCCAGCAGCTGGTTTTTTGAAAAGATCAACGAAATTGATAGACCGTTAGCAAGAGTAATAAAGAAGAAAAGAGAGAAGAATTAAATAGATGCAATAAAAATAATAAAGGGGATATCACCACAGATCCCACAGAAATACAAACTACCATCAGAGGATACTATAAACACCTCTACACAAATAAACTAGAAAATCTAGTAGAAATGGATAAATTCCTGGACACATACACCCTCCCATGGCTAAACCAGGAAGAAGCTGAATCCCTGAATAGACCAATAACAGGCTCTGAAATTGAGGCAATAATTAATAGCCTACCAACCAAAAAAAAAAAAAAAAGCCCAGGACCAGACGAATTCACAGCCAAATTCTACTAGAGGTACAAAGAGGAGTTGGTACCATTCATCCTGGAACTATTCCAACCAATAGAAAAAGAGGGAATCCTCCCTAACTCATTTTATGAGGCCAACATCATTCTGATACTAAAGCCTGGCAGAGACACAACAAAAAAAGAGAATTTTAGACCAACATCCCTGATGAACATCAATGTGAAAATCCTCAATAAAATACTGGCAAACTGAATCCAGCAGCACATCAAAAAGCTTATCCACCAAGATCATGTTTTTTCCCCTTTTAAAGAAAGAATAACTTTGTTTTTAAGTAGAGTGACTGGTTACTCCACAAAGAAAAAGTAAAAAAGTGTAAGATGAAAACCGACTGATTATAAAAACGCTGTAGAAGTGAAGTTGTACAGCAAAATAAACTTTAGATCTTGACAAAACTTTGAGAGATCAAGGATTTTCTGGAGGAGGTGCTCCCAGACCTCAGCAAATCATCCTATTCATTTGAGCCAGAAAGTTGTCTCATGCTGGTACCAAGAATGATAGGAGATTTGTCAAAGTCAGGGGCATTTCCCCTCAGAATCCCTTTGTGGTTACCAAAATGTGAACCCCAAAAATCTGAGACAGGTCTCAGTTAATTTAGAAAGTTTATTTTGCCAAGGTTGAGGATGCCTACCAGTGATGCGACCTCAGGAGGTTCTGATGACATGTGACCAAGGTGGTCAGAGAACAGTTTGGTTTTATGCGTTTTAGGGAGGCATAAGACATCAATCAACATACGTAAGATGAACGCTGGTTTGGTCTGGAAAGGCAGGACAACTTGAAGCAAAGGCGGAAAGACCCAAGCTGGGAGCTTTCTAGGTCATAGGTAGATAAGAGACAAATGGTTGCATTCTTTTGAGTTTCTTATTAGCCTCTCCAAAAGAGGCAATCAGATATGCATTTATTTTATATCTTAACCAGCTTAATTACACATAAAATTACTTTTCCAATATTTCTCCTCTGCAAGCCTCTGTGAAAGAAAAATAAATCTTGGGGCCTCCAAATAACTAAAGGAAGAAGTCAAGCTGGAAACTGCTTAGGGCCAACCTGCCTGCCATTCTACTCCAAGTCACCCCTCTGTTCACTAGGAATTTTATGTGTGATTAAGCTGGTTAAGATTTAAAAATAATTATTTATTTGTTTTTTTCTTTCAAAATTGAAAATTAATATCAAAAGTACATAGATGCAAAACTAGAATTTGGTCCACTCTGTTAAAATAACAAGATTTTATTGAAGTAATTTTCTGCCCTTAATAAGAAATTGTGAAAGTTTTATCTTTATAGATTATTGGTCTAGGAAACAGATTCTGTGTTTCATAGAGGTAATTTTCTGTGCATCATTTGTATTTAATAGGTTTTTATTTACTTAAGACAACTGAGTTCTTTCTGTTAAAAGAGCTAAGAATTTCCTACAGCTATGAAACTTTCTGTATTTTCCTTTGAAGTCTTTTAATTGCCACTCTAGTTAATTGAATACATATGCTTTCACAAAGCCATGTGATCCTATTTAAATCAAATGTTTTAAACCTTTTGACATTTTTGACAACTTTCAAAAACAAAATTCTAAATTAAGACCTTTTGACCTTGAACTAACTTAGGGAGTATCCAGATGGGCCCCTGGAGTATCTCAAATGAAGTTGTTTTTTCTCTTTATAAAAAGAGAGATGTTAAAGTAATTAGGTATATTTGATATGTTAAATCACATGGGAAGAATTGTCAAATAATAAGCAATGCTGAAACTTTTTAAAGTCATATTTTATGAGTATGTTAATATGCGTTTTAGAAACTGTATGTAATTTGTAAAAATCTGATAGTCCCGGTATAACTCTGGCAGTCACAATTTTAATCATTTCTTTGAAATATTTTGTGCCATAGAAATAACAAAATTTCCTTCTTAATTGCATTATAATGAACTCTCATTTGATCTTTTACCGTAGTCATTTTAAGTCTTTTCTTCTACAGATAATTAACTACAATTAACTCATTGTTTTACTCTGGTACTTTCCTGAAAGCTATTTCAAACAACTATAAAACTATAGTGTTTCATATTAAAGGAGATTCATGGAAAAGACTGACAAATACAAGTTACTGATAACTTTAAGATAATACCATTGAACTGGGCAAAAATTCCCAGAACTCTTATGAAGAAACTGATTGGGTCAAAAAATTGCTAATCGAACATCAATCAGAACAAAATTTAATTCCAAAGAAATTTCCTGACACATTTACCTGCTGAGTTGGCTACTACTGAAACTTTAAAGATATGTAATTGAAACAAACTCCTTAGGATTTATTTAAGTCAAATCACTGAGGATAACTTGTTTAATAAACAGTGCCATATACCTAATTTGAAAAACAAAACTGGTATTCAAATGCATGTAAATTTAATATTAAGCATGGACTCATGGAGGGCTCAGAAAGTGGTCTTGCCTTTTCTGTGTTCTTAGAGCTTAAATTATATTTTTAAAAAGCTCTGCACTCCATGACTCATCATTGTGTAGATAGAATAGTAAAAGTTATTTTTAAAATGGTATAGTGACTGTTCTAAAAATTGCTAAAGTAATCTACAACCATTTGTCAAACCCATAATCCTGGCATGATAATAAAGTCTGCAGGAGGTACATTACCATCACCTGCTAGATCATTTGAACACCTACAAATACATTTTATTCAATTGCCACCCTGAGTGACATATCAAAATGTTCCTATAGTACTCTGTTTGTTCTTAGACAAAAGCTTTCCCTTGCAGGAAGGCTAATGCTATAACAGTAGCTAAAAGGTTATTAGAAAACTTTTTTCTGTATAAGATATTCTCGGAGAAATCTCCAATAATAAAGGCACTCATTTGTCTGGACAAGTTATCAAAGAGTTAAATAAAGTATTATGCAAACAGTGGCAATACCATTGTTTTTTATTATCTTTAATCTTCTGAGAGGTTTAATAGACAAAATGATATTTTTTAACCAAAATTGACAAAGTTCGCTAAGTTGATGGAATTGTCTTGGCCAAAGACATTACCATTGGCCTTTATCTCAAACAGATCTACCCACACTGAAAAACACACCTGATCCATCATGAAATAGTTAAATGGGTCCTATATAGGTTTCATATATAGGAAAATCTGTGCCACTTATATTAGAATCTTATATATGATCTGCTCTTATAAAGTTCAATATGACTCAATATTGCAGGGCTTTAATGGCATTATGCCAAAGCATATTTTTACCAGGTAAAATGTGCCCTTTTGTGACCCACCAATTGAAGAGAACAAGGACTTTAATAATCTCAAACCTGGAAATTGGGGTTTCTAAAAATAACACCAGAGAAAAGCTGCCCTTGAGCCCCACTGGAAGGCACCATACATAGTTTTTCTCAGCACCCACATTGCAAAAAACTGCAGGGCCTCGTGTCTTGTGTCCACATTTCTTAAGTCAGTAGGGCCCCTCCATACTTTTGGGACCTGCAATGGTTTGAATAATTGTCCTCCTCTAAAATTCATGTTGAAATTTAATCCTCAATGCTACAGCATTAAGAGGTGTAGCCTTAATGAGGTGATTAATTCATGAGGGTTCTACCCTCGTAAATGGGATCAGTATCCTTTTAAAAAGGCTCAGGGTTAAAGGGAGAGCTCTCTTGTTTTTCTGCCACGTGAAGACACAAGGCATCATCTTGGAACCAAAGAGCAGTTCTCATAAAACATCAGTGCTAGTACATTGACCTTGAACTTGTTATTTTCCAGAACTATAAAAAATACATTTCTGCTGTTTATAAATTACCCAGTTTAAGGTATTTTGTTATAGCATCACAAATGGATTAAGACAAACTGTGCACCTGTTGGATAACTCAAGGTAAAACTGGCAGAGAGAGGTTTCTTCCCAGAAGCAGATGCCATACTAGACACAACAACTTCCCCAAGATTATGGATCAAGACTTCACTAACAATACTACAACCGTATTCCCTTCTCCTCTTTTCCCTGTGCCTTCTTTCTGTTTAGTGTGGCAAAATAATACTAGGATTATGATTTCATGATTGATAGCTTATGCAGAAAACTTAACTGAACATTGAATATGTCAAGCTAAATCTAAATTCCTACAATAAGTTAAAGATCCTCTGGTTCACCTGTAACAGATTTAATTGATCCTCCAAGGGCAACTACTTGTTCAAATTGAACATCTAGTTCTTTCTATAGGGTTAGACTTTTAGATCCATGTATTAGACTCCTTTTTTAAATCTAACAGTAGGAGAAACCTATAGTGAGAGTTTTTCAGATAAATTATTCCATAAATTGAGTAAGTAAACCAAAGTGAAAGATAATTTGACAATTTGTGGACAAATGGATTACCTTAATCCCTTAACTCTCAGTAGCCTCTAACCATACAATGATTTAATCATGGAGCCTTTGCACTTCCCTATTCGTGACCCCAAATACAAGAAAGCATCCCACAGTTACTGTCTGATGAAATCCTCAAGGATTTGCTTCTATCTATAGATGGTAACATACAGGTAAGCAAATCCTGTCTCAGTCAGTGGTATTTTCTTATTTTAGGCTCAATGTAGATTTGAATTAGATTATTCCATATTCAAATAGAAACTGAATATTGGTCAATACCTTATAATTTGAACTATAGAATAAAGAATAATTTGTCAGCAGGCATAAACTCCTCTAAAAGGACATCTTTGTTTTAATGTTTCTTCTGTTGCTTAGCATAAATATAAATGAGACTATAGTTAGAACTCTGTCTCAAATATTAGCTGCTATAGCTGACTCTACCCTAAAGGCTTTAGTGGCTAAATAATTTATATATCACTAATCATCAGGTATATGCAAACCAAAATAAAATGAGATCACAGTGAGATAGCATAAGGAAATATCATCTCACTCCAATTACAATGGTTATTATCAAAATACAGAACAATAACAAGTGTAGAGAAAAGGAAACCCTTATATGCTTTTGTTGGGAATATAAATTGGTACATCCATTATGGTTGTACCAATAGTATGAAGGTTCTTCAAAAACTTAAAATTATCACATGATCGAGCAATTTCACCACTGGGTATTTATCCAAAAAAAAAAAAAATGAAATCAGTATGTCAAAAAAAATCTACACTTTTATCTACAGCAAAAATATAGAATAAATATATATGTCCATCAATGGATAAATAGGTAAAGAAATTTAGTAAAGACTCCACCAAAAAAACTGTTAGAACTGTTAAACAACTTCAGTAAAATTGCAGGATACAAAATCAACATACAAAAATCAGTCGCCTTTATATATGCCAGCAATGAACAATCTGAAAAGAATCAAGAAAGCAATCCCATTTACAATAGCTGCAATAAATATGTTATAAAATACCTAAGAATCAATCCAATCAAATAAATGAAAGATCCATATAAAAAAATTTCACAGAACTCTGATGAAATAAATAGAAGACAAAAATAGAAAAAATAGGTCATGCTCATGGATTGTATGAATTTATATTGATAAGATAACAATAGTACCCAAAACAAACTACAGATTCAGTATAATTCCTACCAAAATACAAATGACATTCTTCACAGAAATAGAAAAAAATCTTCTACAATTTATGTGGAACCACAAAAGACTCCAAATAGCAAAAGCAATCCTGAGCAAAAAGAACAAAACTGGAGATATGAGATTTCCTGGCTTCAAACTTTATTACAAAGCTATGGTAACCAAAACAGTATGGTACTCACATAAAAACAGATACATAGTTCAAAATAACAGAATAGAGAACTCAGATATAAATCCACAAATTTATAACCAACTCGTAGTCTTCAATGGAACCAAGAAGTTACAATGAAGAAACGACAGTCTTTTCAATAAATGGTGATGGGAAGACTGGACAACTATGTGCAGAAGGTTGAACTACTCTGCTACCTCTCACCATACACAACAATCAAATTAAAATGAATTAAAGTCTTGAATATAAGACCTGAAACTATGAAACTATTAGAAGAAAATATTGGAGACAATGCTCCAATGTTTTGGGCAAAAATTTTTTGTGTAATACCTCAAAGATACAGGCAAGCAAAACAAAAATAGACAGTTGAGATTACATAAAACTAAAATCCTTCTGCATTGAAAAAGAAACAATCAACAAAATGAATAGACAACCCACAGAATGGTAGCAAATATTTACAAACATCTAACAAGGTATTAATAACCAAGAAATACAGGAAGCTTAGACAACTCAATAGCAAGGAATAAATAATCTAATTTAAGAATGGGCTAAAGGTCTGAACAGAAATTTCTCAAAAGTAAACACACTAATGGCCACCAAGTATTTAAAAAAAAATGTTCAACATCACTAAACACCAGAGAAATGCAAATCAAAACTACAATGCAATATTATGTCACACCAGTTAAAATGGCTTATATCAAAAAGATAGGCAATAATAAATGCCAGCAAAAATGTGGAGAAAGGAGTACCCTCATACACTGTTACTGGTACATTTACTGTCTAGGAAAAGACAGTATGGAGTGTCTGGGAAAGACACTATGGAGAACAGCATGAAGGTTCCTCAGAAAACTAAAGACACTATGGAGAACAGTATGAAGGTTCCTCAGAAAACTAAAAATAGATCTCTCAAATGATCCAGAAATTCCACTACTGAGTATATATCCACAAGAAAGGAAACCAATATATCTAAGAGATATCTATACTCTCATGTTTATTGCAGCACTATTTGCAGTAGCCAAAATAGGGAATCAACCTAGGTGCCTATCAATAGATTAGCAGATTAAAAAATGTAGTATATATGCACAATGAAATGTTACTTAGTCGTAAAGAAGAATGAAACTGTAATTTGCATCAAAATGGATACAACTGGAGGTCATTTTGTTAATCAAAATAAGTCTCATGAAATCTGATGATTTTATCAAGGGTTTCCACTTCTGCATCTTTCTCATTTTCTCTTATTGCCACCATGTAAGAAGTGCCTTTTGCCTCTTGCCATGATTCTGAGGCCTTCCCAGCCACGTGGAACTGTAAGTCCAATTAAACCTCTTTTCTTCTCAGTCTCAGGTATATCTTTACCAGCAGCATGAAAACTGACTAATACAGTAAATTGGTATCAGTAGATTGGTGCATTGCTGAAAATATACCTGAAAATATGGAAATGACTTTGGAACTGGGTAACTGGCAGAGGTTGGAATAGTTTGGAGGGCTCAGAAAAAGACAGGAAAATGTGGGAAAGTTTGGAACTTCCTAAAGACTTGTTGAATGGCTTTGCCCAAAAGCCTGATATCAATATGGACAATAAATTCCAGGTCAAGATGGTTTCAGATGGAGACAAGGAGCTTGTTTGGAACTGGAGCAAAGGTTACTCAAAGAGACTGGCAGTATTTTGCCCCTGCCCTAGAAATTTGTGGAACTTTGTGAGAGATGATTTAGGGTATCTGGCCAAAGAAATTTCTAAGCAGCAAAGCATTCAAGATGTGATTTGGGTGCTGTTAAAGGCATTCAGTTTTATAAGGGAAGCAGAACATAAAAGTTTGGAAAATTTGCAGGCTGACAATGTGATAGAAAAGAAAAACCCATTTTCTGAGGAAAAATTCAAGCCAGCTGCATAAATCTGCCTAAGTAGCAAGGAGCCTGATGTTAATCCTCCAGACAATGGGGAAAATGTCTCCAGGGCACGTCAGAGGTCTTCATGGAAGCCGTTCCACCACAGGCCTGGAGGCCTAGGAGAAAATGTTTTTTTGGGCCAGGTCCAGGGTCACTGTGAGTGTGCAGCCTAAGGACTTGGTTCCCTGCATCCCATCCACTTCAGCGCGACTGAAAGGGGACAATGTAGAGTTTGGGCCATAGCTTCAGAGGGTGCAAGCCCCAAGCCTTGGCAGCTCCCACGTGGTGTTGAGCCTGCAAGTGCACAGAAGTCAAGAATTGGGGTTTGGCAACCTCTGCCTAGATTTCAGAAGATGTATGGAAACACCTCTATGCCCAGGAAGAAGTTTGCTGCAGGGGCAGAGCCCTCATGGAGAACTTTTGCTAGGGCAGTGCAGAAGAGAAATATGGAGTTGGAGCCCCCAAATAGAATCCCTACTGGGGCACCAACTAGTGGAGCTGTGAAAAGAGGGTCACCATTCTCCAGCCCCCAGAATGGTAGATCCACCAACAGTTGTCACCGTTCACCTGGAAAAGCCACAGACACTCAATGCCAGCCCATGAAAGCATCCAGGAGAGAGGCTGTGCCCTGCAAACCCACAAAAGTGGAGCTGCTCAAGATCATGGGAACCCATGTCTTAAATCAGCATGACCTGGATGTGAGACCTGGAGTCAAAGGAGATCATTATGGAGCTTTAAAATTTGCCTGCCCCACTGGATTTCGAACTTGCATGGACCCTGCAACTACTTTGTTTTGGCCAATTTCTCCCATTTGGAACCCAATACCTGTACCCCCATTGTATCTAGGAAGTAACTAGCTTGCTTTTGATTTTACAGGCTCATAGGCAGAATGGACTTGCCTTGTCTCAGATGAGACTTTGGACTGTAGACTTTTGGGTCAATGTTGAAATGAGTTACGACTTTGGGGGACTGTTGGGAAGGCATGATTGGTTTTGAAATGTGAGGACGTGAGATTTGGAGGGGCAGGGATGGAATGATATATTTTAGCTCTGTTTCCCCACCCAAATCTCATCGTAAATTGTACTCCCATAATTCCCACATGTTGTGGGAGGGACTCGGTGGGAGATAATTTGAATTATGGAGGCGGTTTCCCCCATACTGTTCTAGTGGTAGTGAATAAGTCTCACGAGATCTGATGAGTTTATCAGGTGTTTGCACTTTTTCATCTTCCCCATTTTCTCTTGCTGCCTCCATGTGAGAAGTGTCTTTTGCCTCCTGCCATGATTCTGAGGCCTCCCCAACCACGTGGAAGTGTAAGTCCAATTAAATCTTTTCTTCTTCCCAGTCTCGTGTATGTCTCTACAAGCATCATGAAAATGCACTAATACACAGCCCACTTTTCATACAATCATTAACAATGGAGCTTCCACCAATCCTGGGAAGCCAACTGATCACATGATGGTCAAATAAGGTAAATACCCCCTCACATCCTTCACAAATAAACCACATTCCTAGCTGCAGACAATCCAGTGATTTCTCCATTTTGCTGCAGTGTTGAACTATCAAAGCTCACCACTCACACTGCTGGGAAGAGTTCTCCGTACCTCTTCTGGTTGGGAGTGCTCTCTCAATTCATGAATTGTTCTTTGCTCCAATTAATTCTGTTTAATTTAATTTGTTGAGAAATTTTCTTTTACTTGAAGTGTCCCATGTGATACTTTAAGTAAAAGAAAATATTGACAAATTAAACACATATATGTTTATACGTGTCTGTGTGTATATGTGTTAAGGCAATATTAGAACTACAGATTTCTAGATATTTTATCATATGAGAAGATTTCCTTCCTTTAAACATATACACACAGACATATATAAACATATTGGTAGAATCTTTTGATTCTGATCTTTTTTTTAACCCTCAACAGTTAAACCTTCTTAATACAAACTTAAAAATAAAAATTAAATATTAAAAAACCCAACAAAACAAAAACTTTTTAAAAATTATATGTTCTTCTGTCTTAGACAATTTTAGTCATATCTTCTTTTTCTTGATGCTTGTCCTTTAGCAGTTCATTTAGAATAAATATTTCAGTGACAAACTTGATGTATCTAAAAATACTTTCATATCATTTAATTTTGAAGAATGATATTACTGGATATACAATTATAAAAGTCGTTTTTACCTTCACTTTTGAAATATTATTTTACTACTTTTTGGCTCTCATTATTTGTTTTTGTTACCAAACATGATGTCATTATAACTATAATTTTTCTAATAAAGTCTTTTCCTGTGACTGATTTCAAAATCATCTCTGTCTCAAATTATCTTAATTTTCAGAAGACTCATAATGCAGATATTAGTGATTATTATTTATCTTATCCTGCCTTTGAGGCAATATTTTTACTAGATCTGTAAATTTACATTTTTAACCAATTTTGGATAATCCATAACAATTTTCTCTTTAGTTTTTCACTTCATTTTCTCACTTTCTCCTCTCAGATAAATGATGACACTTCTGATTCTTTCCTCTTTATAATTAGCCTCTCTTTTTTTGTTTTTGATATTCCTATCTCTTTATAATGCCTTATCAATACATTTCTAATATAGTTCTTCCATGTTAATTCTTTCTTTAGTTTTTCACTCATCCATTGACTTTTGGCAAGTTATGTGGTGTTTTTCTAGATATTTTATTAATTTTTTCAACTCTAACTCATCGTTACTGACAGTTTCTTAGCATTTACTTGCCTTTGTAATTTTATCTGCTTTTTCTTTAAACATGTTTATACAGAATAATTTTATTTTCTGAACTTAACAAATATAGCATATCTTAGTCTATTTTTGCTGTTGCAACAAAAATGTCATGAACTGGACAGTTTATAAACAATAGAAATTTATTTCTTACAATTCTAGAGGCTGGCACTTTTAAGGAAAAGGCACCAAAAGACTCAAGGTCTGCTGAGGGCTTTTTGCTCAGTGATGGTGCCTTCTATGTTTCCTCACATGGGGGAAGGAGCGAATGAGCACCCCTGGGCCTCCTTTGTAAGGAAGTTAACCCCATTCATGAGGACTCTGTCCTCGTGCCCTAATCTCCCAAAGTCCCTCCTAATGCTGCCATATTGGATATTAAGTTTCAACATATGAATCTGGGGAGATAAAGCATTCTGACTATAACACAACTTCTGTAGTTCTTAAGTTTACTTTTATTTGAATTAGTTTCTGATATTTTCTTACAATGTCTTGATTGTCACAAAATGTGTTAATATTTGGGAAGTGGTAGGTGGTTGATTGAATTATTGTTCTAAATCTTTACCTATATGTAGGTCATTTCTTATATAACTGAAGTGATACTAGTAAGAGACATACTATATATTCCCATTACTTTTATAGATACCTTGGCCTTTGACTAGTTTTGCCCAGTTGTTTGTAGATGAAATGATAGTGTGTCTATTCTAAGTCTTTTTGAAGCACGTTTCTATTTGCCTTCTTGTGTTTACCATTGCTGTGATAAGAACATTCCTCAGGTAACCCCCTGATTCCAGAGTAAAAGCCACCCAGAACAACAATGCCCCAACTTATTCTTAGAACTGATGCTTAAAGTAGAGCCAGGCCATTGCACCTGTAAATCTAAAATATGAAACACAGATTTCCCAGTTGGTGTACTTTCCAGTGAGCATGGTAACAAATATCTATTTTTATGCTGAGTTCTGGATTGCTTTTGTTTTACATGATTAGCAACTGATAAATTACGGTTTATTTTAACCTATAAATATCAAAGAGTCTAACTTGTGGAAGGTTTTTTACCAAACATTTTGCTGCTGGTAGCCAAATAGTGGAAATCCCTATTAATCTAGGAAATTGTAAACTGCTCTTCACACATTTTAGTTTTTAGCAATTTTAGACCCAGCTCAATCATTTGCTGAGGTACAAATGATTGCTATCATTAACTTCAGTGTTGCTGTAAAGATCCGTGCTCAAATCATCTACCAAACCCTTGTAACTACAAATTTAGATCAAGCTGTTACTCCGTCTTCTTGCACTTGTAATTTCCTACTTCTCTGAAACTGGCTTCCTGACTCCATGCCTCTGTATTTTGTGTATTCCCTCTTCCATTATAGTAAGCAGAAATTCAAGTTCTTGGCCACCACATTCCCAGGTGCTCAGGACTGCAGTCCAATTTGCTTTTGGATTTTTGTTGTTGTTGTTAGCTTCCTGCAAAATAACTCCCAGTACTCTCTATCAGCGAGTCCTTTCAAGAGTATTTCCATATATTTGTGTTACCATAATGCTTACAAAAGGCTGCCTTATGTAAGGTTTCTTTGTGAATTGACAGGTCTCTCAGATTGCCTAATTATTCATAATACCTAAGTGATGTTGTCTCTATGGTGGCCTCAATTATTTTTCAAAAATAATATCCACCAAATTTACAAATAAGGGGTCACTGATATGTGATGCACTGATGATGTCTTAGTCTGTTTCATGCTGCTCTAACAGAGTAGCACAGACTTTTAAAATAAACAGAAATTTCTTTGGCTAACAGTTCTGAATATTGGGAAGTACAAGATCATGGGCCCACATCTGGTGAGTGCCTTCTTGCTGTTTCATCTGATGGTGTCAGGGCAAAGAAAGAGTGAGCCTGAGAGAAAGTGGTTGAACTCACAGACTCAAGCACTTTTATAACTGAAATCAATCCATGCATGAGTGTGGAGCCCTCATAGTGGAAAAACTGATTAGCCTTCACTTTCCAACACTGTTGCATTGGTAAGTAAGTTTTAAACACATGCTTTTCTTAAAATACATTAATGCTATAACAGGTAGAATCTAAATATTCCCTCCAAATCTATTGTAATTCAATACATAACTTCATCTAATTTCAAATGTCTTTGAAATTCAAAATTCTACTTTTCTGAGATTTTTAAAATCTAAATTTAGAGTTTTTTTCACACAGAGTAAATTAAAGAATCATTTGTGTTTCTAGCATGTATTTGTAATTCTTTTTAAGTTTTCTAGAGGGGTTTTGTTCAACTAAGCATTCCTTATTTCTTGTAATGCTCCTAACTATGTGTAAGTGAAAATAGAGCTGAAAAAAAAAAAGAAAATAATCCTGCTAAAGTTGACTTTCTACCTGAATGTTGCTCAGTGGTACTGTTTTATAAGAATAACATAATGATTTGAGCAAAAATAAAACACAAGCCCAAAATATATAACAAAAGATATATTTTTAAAATGGCTATATATATGTAAATATATAGGTATATAATTTTAGTCTTATTTACTCATATTTCTATACTTATTTACATAGACCTTACATGTTTTTATGAGTGGTGTTCCCTGCAGCTGACAATACTTACACCACAGGAATTTAATAAATATCAATAAGGCGCTCAACGAATGTTTCCTGCTTGAAATAAAATGCTTTTCTTTGTTCTAACATAAATACCAATATAAAGTCTCTGTAAACTCTTAAAATCATCAAAATATTATGCAACAACTCTAAGTACCATAGATAAGAACTTGAAATGGATGGAAATTTATTATTCTTACATGTGATTTAAAGTAAATTCAGCAATTTAAGACAATATTTTTAAAAAATAAAATGCTAAAATAAGAAATATTTCAGTTCTTTCCACCAAAGCTAATGTTAAATATTCAATTTAAATTTTCTTCACAGAGCCTGAAATCAAGATGAACAGATAGTAAAATGGAAGTTGCATTGTATTTTACTTAACTAGAATGATGGGACAATCAAATCATAAAGATTTCTATATGTTTAATGGTAAAAATCTAAAAGCCCCATTTAAAAATTGGGCATATGAAATAGTCCAGTGAGCTTAGGATAAAGTCAAATATACCTAGTTGTATGTAGATCTTCTTAATTACCTAGGAGGAGATTGTCTTCATCATGAATATAAACATCTAAAATCCACAAATTATAATACTGATGTCATTTAAGTATACGTGTCTCTGTAACATGCCTATGGGTTAATTTTTGCTGATGAGTTTATTACTCTGATTTCATTGCATTGCAATGAATTCCTATAGGCAAGCACCTGGAAGTAATTACCTGAAAAAGTTAACTATATGCACAGGTATGGCTTAGAAGAGCAAAAATATGCTTTAATTTATGCAAAATTCAACAGCTTGCCTACTGTGTTACATTTCTGAGTCAAGAGAAAATCATTAATCTTGGCCTGGCATGGTGGCTCATGCCTGTAATCCCAGCACTTTGGGAGGCTGAGGTGGCCGGATCAACGGAAGTCAGGATTTCGAGACCAGCCTGACCAACATGGAGAAACCCCGTCTCTACTAAAAATACAAAATTAGCAAAGCGTGTTGTTGCATGTCTGTAATCCCAGCACTTTGGGAGGCTGAGGTGGCCGGATCAACGGAAGTCAGGATTTCGAGACCAGCCTGACCAACATGGAGAAACCCCGTCTCTACTAAAAATACAAAATTAGCCAAGGGTGTTGTTGCATGTCTGTAATCCCAGCTACTCAGGAGGCTGAGGCAGGAGAATTACTTAAACCTGGGAGGTGGAGGTTGCGTTGAGCCAAGATTGCACCATTGCACTCCAGCCTGGGCAACAAGAGTGAAACTCCGTCTCAAAAAAAAAAAAAAAAAAAAAGAAAGAAAAGAAAATCATCACACTTAACTTTTAGGATCTGACTAAAGCAAAACTATAAAATTCAACCTGGTTTCTTTTCCCATAAATATTGTTACTCTTCATGGCTCTGTCTATATAACTAAGACCAATTTCCAAGGTGTGCAACATAATTTTAGGGAATGAAAATGAAAACCTTTACCCTGTACTGTTAAAATAAGTCTCGCAAATGCTTTCTGATTTTCTGTTCTATACACACATTCTCCAAAAATATATCCTCATCTAGTAAGAGTCTTATTAAAATTAAATAAGAATAAACTCATAAATGGCTGATATTGTTTGGCTGTGTCCCAACCCAAAACTCAACTTGAATTGTATCCCCCAGAATTCCCACGTGTTGTGGGCAGGACCCAGGGGGAGGTAATTGAATCATGAGGGTTGGTCTTTCCCCATGTTATTCTCGTGAAAATGAATAAGTCTCACAAGATCTGATGGGCTAATTGGGGCTTTCTGCTTTTTCTTCCTCATTTTTCTCTTGCTGCCACCATGAAAGAAGTGCCTTTCACCTCCTGCCATGATTCTGAGGGCTCTCTAGCCATGTGGAACTGTAAGTCCAATTAAACCTCTTTTCCCCACTCCCCCACCCCAGTCTCAGGTAAGTCTCTATCAGCAGCGAAAACAGACTAATACAATGACTTAGCAGAGTCCCAGGCACCTTGTAAAAATGTTTAATAATTTCAACACTATCATGATGGCCATCATTCCAAACATTGTATCTGACATAACTTTTACTGTAATCAACAAAGTGCTCCTTGCTTCAGAATGGGTTTCTATCTCTGAAATGTATTCTCAATATTACCTACTCATGCATTCCACTTTCCATGTTTGCTAAGAAACTTAATTGTTAAAAAAATTGAAACTATTCAAGTTGTAAATCACCTTCAATGTTCTTATTAAGCATTCTATACTAACATTATTTGAGAAATTTGATTTCATGAGAGAATCTTTACATATTTGATTAAGGCAATACCTATATTTTGACATTATTATAACATATTCATAATACATATCATGGTTTAACTAACCATTAACCACTTTTTTGAGCTCTGATTGAGCTTAATTTGAAATCAGTTATATAGTATTATATATAAATAAAAACATCTGATTTTATTGTGAATTATAATAAAATATGCCCGTATTTTTAGTTAATAACTCTTACCTGTAGAAATTACCCATTATCTCTGAGCTTTTACTATGATTATGGTTCATGCTTTCTTATTTATTGATAAATAAATATATAATTGTAAATCTGTATATTTTTGAATTTTCTGAAAGCCAATATTTTATTTTTTAAAATTATTTTGTTTTTAGGTTTATATCCTAAGAATTCTTCAATTATAAGCAATAGAAATATTTGCTTACATAATTAAACATGAATCAATGATTTAGTAATATGACATTGAGTAGCAAAAAAAAAAAAAAAAATCAAATGATTACCCAGTATACCTGGTTTCAAGAATGGTCTCAGGTCCATTGCTCTCAGTTCAAACCAGTGTAGAATGTCTCTTTGGTGTTGTGCCATCAGATAACCCAATGTCAGAAGCCTCCTGTCCTTGAAGCCCCAACTCATGGTTAAGTTTTCAGAAAATGGGAATATGATAGTATGGATTCCATATTACTTCTTGTGATCAGTGAAGCTTGGTCCTTTTATTGGCAATTTCATCAGAGCTACATACTGAATAAAACACAAATCACCAAGTGAAAGGATGTTAGATAGCTAAAATTAACCAATAACTATATCCTTCCCTTTGTTTGCTCAGTGTATGCACCCATTTATTCCTGTGAATACAATCAAACTACTTAAGAAAATACAACTGTATGATTGGAAACAATAATCCTTCCCAGTGGAGACTGGAAATTTCTAGATATTAAGTCCAAAGGAGATACTATTAGACATCTGGGCACTAGAATATCTGAATAATTTCATTATGTTACTTAGTTCTGTCCCAATAACTTTTATATGTTCTACAAATTCTTAAGCAAGTGCAAAGTTTAACTAAAAACTTTCATATACAGGTATAAATTTCACATTACATTAGTTAGAGCAAAGAAGAGAAAATAAATAATTAGATAAACAGACATATGGACAAGATGATGGAAATTTATAGAGTATATACAGCACTTATTTTTAACTGATCAAGATGTTGTAGCCACTACTTTGGTTTTTCATCAGACATCTTCTCATTGCCTTATTATCACTTGCATTTCAGATAGAAAGCATTTATTTATTTATTTATTTTTGCCTAGACTACTGACCCAACTATTAATAATTTATGGGTTTGTGTTTCTTGTGTTTTTCAAAAATAAGATTGAAGTAATTTTGGAATTTTTTACCACTAAAAATTTAAACAAAACCTATTCTGGGATTTCCACAATTCGATTCATGATTCTCTATGTCCTTATTCTACTACAACATACATATTTCTTTTTCATGGAGTTTACCAACTTAGCTAAATATAAAACCCCCTTTTGTATCTTTAAACATAGCTAGATAAAGAGTCCCATATGGCCACTTCAGTCTCTCACATTTTTCTCTGAGTTTTCAGTAATGCCAAGCTAACATTTTGAAAGTGGTTTATTAGCAACAGTTGGAATGTACATCACTCACACCTCTACCACTTTGGCCCTGAACCCAGTCATCCAGGTTTTTGAAAATCATAGATTGCTCTTAAATAGCATGTGTTACAAGTTATGTCAAGCTTCCTTTGGGATCATAACATTCAAGAGAGACTTGGAACATCATTGACATGTTTATATCCATTTGCATTGTCACACTATATGTTTTAGTCTGTTTGGGCTGCTATTAAAAAATACTAGAAACTGAGTGACTTATAAACAAAATAAATTTATTTCTTACAGTTCTACAGACTGAGAAATTCAGCAACAATTTTAAGTGACATATTCAGACCATAGCAACATAATATATTTCTAAGAGTACTGAAACTTAATTTCTCAAAGGACCAAACTGTAATTAATCAAGAATGAAAGATTCTTAATTATGTAACTTGAAATGGGTTCTGTTGCTAGACTTAGAGGTCTTTTTGGGATCTTTATTAAAAAAAAAAGGCAGGTCTCCAAATTGAGGAAATTGTTGTAAGACCTGCTTCAAGGAGAAAAGAAGTAGAAAATATTACTGTTTCTTAGCAGCAGATTTTCAATGACCATTGAGATTATCCAAGAATCTAGCTACTATCATTTTATGTGTCTTAAGACTCAAATTTTTAAGATCCAAATTATTGTCTGCCCCTTTTTTTTTCTGGTAGTGAATGAAGGGTGCTATAATCAGTTTTTCTATTGAAATTGATTAACAAGGGGCAACATCGATAAAGAGGAGCTACCATAGGAAAGACAAAGCTGGTAGATATCAAGCATTATTTTTTAAAGAAATATCTAATAATTCCTTTATCTAACTCCTATGTGTAAAAACTAATGTATGTCATTAACTATGTGTCAAGCATTTCTTGAAGGACTTCATAATATTACTTCATTTGGTACGTAACAAAACAGTTAAAGAAACTATTTATCTGTTATGTTGAACAGTTCCTAGAGGCACAAAATTACTTTCCAAAAGTCACATCTCAAGATATAGCGGGACAGGGATATGCCAAGGCAGTCTGGCTTCATGCACACTTCATAGTTACTATGTAGTGTTGATGTCAAATTAGTAGAAAAAAAAATCACAGTGACTATTGTCTCTAATTTTTATTGATGTTGTAAATGGAACTGTGTTCCCTAACATTTATATGTTTAAATTGTAATCCCCAGTACTTCAGAATGTGACTTTATTGGGAGATAAGCCTTTACAAAGATAATTAATTAAAGTGTGATCATTGGGTTTGGCCTCAATCTGATTAGTGGCCTTGTAAGAACAGGAAATTTGGACACAGATATAAATTAATGGAAGACAGCATGAAGAGATATAGGGGGAAAATAGTCATCTTTGAGCCAAAAAGAGATGCCTAGAATAGATTATTTTCTCACAGCCCTTAGAAGAAACAAACTTATAGACTCTATCAAAACATCCCTAGAACTGATAAATTACTTCAGTAAAATCTCAGGTTACACAATGTACAAACATCAATAGCATTTCTATACATAAATAACATTATAGCTGGCAGCCAAATCAAGAACATAATTCTATTTACAATAGCAAAAAAAAAAATTGAAACACCTAGGGATACATCTGAGATGGTGAAAGATCTCTAAAGAAAGAAAAACACTGCTGAGATATATCAGACATGGCACAAATAAATAAAAAAAGTAATCCAGGCTCATGGATTGGATAAGTCAATATTCTTCAAATAACCATACTGCCCAAAGCAATTTACAGATTATATGGTATTCCTATGAAAATACCAGCATCTTTTTTTGCAAAAAATAGTAAAAAAGCTATTCTAAAAAGTATGGAATCAAAAATGAGACTTAATAGGCAAAACAATCCTAAATAAAATGAACAAAGCTGGATGCATCACGTTACCCAACATCAAACTATATTATAAGGCTACAGTAACCAAAACAGCATGATACTGGTACAAAAGTGGTCACAAAGACCAATGAAACCGAATAGAGAACCTGGAAATAAAGCTGTAAATTTACAACAACCTGATCTTTGACAAAGTTGACAAAAATGAGTAAAGGATAATTTTATTCAATAAAAGGTGCTGGGGTAACTTGCTAGTTATATACAAGAGAATGAAACTGGACCCCTATTTTTCACTATGTTCAAAAATTATCTCAAGATGGACTAAACATTTAAACATAAGACCTCAAACCATAAATATCCTAGAAGAAAATGTAGGAAATACTCTTCTTGATATTGGCTTTGGAAAATAATTTATTGCTGTGTCCCCCAATGCAATTGCAACAAAACCAAACATTGACAACTGGGACCTAATTCAACTAAAGAGCTTCTGCATGGCATATATATATGTGTGTGTGTATATATATATATATATATACACACATATATGTACACACACACATATATATACATATATATATATATATACATACACATACACATATATATATTCAACAGTGTAAACAGACAACTTACAGAATGGGAGAAAATATTCACAAACTATCCATCTGACAAAGGTCTAATATCCAGAATCTACAAGGGACTTAAATAAATCAATAAGCAAAAAACAAACAACCTAATTTTAAAATGAGCAAAAGACATGAACAGACACTTCTGACATACAAGTGGCCAACAAACATACAGAATAATACTCATCATCACTAATCATTAGAGAATGCAAATTAAACCACAGTGAGATCCCATCTTCTGGCATCAGAATGGCAATTATTAAAAAGTCAAAAATCGATACTGGAGAGGCTACAGAGAAAAGGGAATGCTTATATACCATTTGTGGGAACGCAAATTAGTTCAGCCACTGTGGAAAGCAGTTTGTAGATTTCTCTAAAAGTTAAAACGGAACTACAAAATGGAGAAAATAGAACTTAAAACAGTACTACCGTTCGACCCAGCAATCCCATTACTGGGTATACATGCAAGGGAAATTAGATCATTATACCAAAAAGGCATGTACACTCATATGTTCATTGCAGCGGTATTCATGACAGCAAAGGCATGGAATCAACCTAGGTGCCCATCAATGGAGGACTGGATAAAGAAAATGCAGTACATGTAAACCATGGAATACTACTCAGTCATAAAAAGAACAAAATCATGTCCTTTGCAGCTGGAGGCCATTATCCTAAGCAAATTATTCTAAGAGCAGAAAACAAAATACCACATGTTCTCATAAGTGGGAGCTAAGCATTTAGTACACATGGACATAACAGAAGCAATAGACACTGGGGACTACTAGAGGAGGGAAGAAGGGAGGGGAACATAGGCTGACAAACTGCTTATTGGGCACTATGCTCACTACCTGGGTGACAGGATCATCTATAACCCAGTGTTTAATGTTATACAATGTATCCATGTAACAAACCTGCACATGTGCCCTCTGAATCCAAAATAAAATTTGGAAACAAAGGGAAAAATCAACACTGTCGATATTCTTATTTTGGACTTTTAGCCCCCAAATTTCAGACAATAAGTTTCCCTCTGAGCCACTTAATTTGTGGTAGTTTGTTCAAGCAGCACTAGTTAACTAACACAGTGATATTTATCATGAAGTGGTAGAGGACTTGGCAGAATTGTGTTCTGTTGAGTGGAAAGTGGAACTTGTAAGTGATGAACCTGATATTTAGAGAAGATATTTTATAAGCAAAGTATTTGGGTAGCACTTTTTTTGCTAACTTTAATAAAATGTGAGAGGAGGGAGATAAACTGAAAAAGATTGTGCTCAGCAGAAAGAAAACAGCACTTGATTTGAAAGATTCTCAACCTATCCAGATAGTTTACTCCTGAAAGAGGACTAAGTGTGTTGCTCGACAGGGGATTATATACTTGAATTATAGATCCGATCAACCATTTTAGCAGAAAGCTTGCCAACTTGGACTGCAGGGGATAGAGGCTGAACTAAATGAAATAAATCTGTTAGACTTTTATAATTCTACAGCCAAGAACTGGGCCCATAGAGCTTTTTGGCTGCAAATATGTGCTATCTTTCACGAAAAGGAAAGAACAACCATAAGGGTAGGGCTACCTCCTTGGTCCAGATGGTGAATCCACCAACTCAGTTCCAGAAGGAAGGGCTATGGCCAAGGACTCAGTGTGGGGCTACCATGCCTGTACACCTGTGCCGTGTGTGTGTGTGTGTCCAACACTCAGATGAACTCAGAGGATCTAAAATCCAATCTAAAAGTTTTTTTTTCGAAGTACTTAAAATGTAATAAAATTTACCCTAATAGGTTCTGGACTTCCTTGGGACCTGAGACTTTTTTTCTACTTCTGATTTCTTCCTTTTGGAATAGGAATGTATATTCTATACTTGTTCCACCATTGAATTTTGGTTTTACAAGTTCAGAGATTGAGTATTTGGATGAATTTGGATGAATACTCCTAGGATGAATCATGTGCCAAGTCTAATTTATAAAATATTTGGGTAATTTACATGGTGGGATTTGAGCCTTTTTTTGGGTTGATGATATTTAGATTTTGGACTTACAGTTGATGCTGGCATGATAGACTTTTACTGATATTGGCATAGGTTAATATATTTTGCACAAAGAGAATGACATGGATTTGGTGGGGGACAGAAGGAAGACTCTTACAGGACAAATTGTGTCTTCTCAAAATCTATATGATGAGGTCCTAACTTCAGTACCTCCAAATGTGAACTTATTTAAATGCAGTATTATTACTTATGTAATTAATTAAGTTGGAATCACACTGGAATAGAAAGGGTTCGTAATTCTATATAACTGGTGTCCTTATAAAAAGGAAAATTTGAACATAGATATGCACACAAGTAGAATGCTATACAAGGATGAAGGTAGAGATGGAAATAATGCTTCTCCAAGCCATGGAATAACAGGGATTGCCATAAAACTACTATTAGCTAGGCTAGAAGCATGAAACAGATTATCTTTCGCACCCCTCAAAAGGAACCAAATCAGCTGACACCACAATATTGATGTTCTATTCTCAAGATATGCAAGGCAATACATTTCTGTTATTTAAGCAACACAGTTTGTTGTACTCTGTTATTGCATCCATAGCAAACTAATACAATTATAATGACTTTACTGTCATAATGTAATTTTAATAACAATTTAGAAAATTTTATCTTTGAGTATGATATTAGTTATGGGCTTAATTATGTTGAGGAATTTCCCTTCAATTCTTAGTTTTCTGAGTGTTTTTATTGGGAATGTGTTTTGAATTTTGTCAAATGCTCTTCTGGGTTAGCTGAGGTGATTCTGCATTTCTTTAAATTGTTCTATTAATGTAGAGCATTGCATGGCTGGATTTTCTTATGTTGAACCATCCTTGCATTCCTGAAATAAACTCCACCTGGTTATGATATAAAAGCCTTTTATATGTGCCTACATTCAGTTTGCTAGTATTTTGTTGAGGATTTTTGTACTACACTTATAAGGAATATTGATCTGTAATTTTCTTGTGATGTCTTTCCTCACAGAATGAGTTAGGAAGTGGTTCCTTCTCTCTTCAATTTTTTTTTTCTGAGGAATTTGAGAGATACTAGTGTTAAACTGTCTTTAAATATCTGGTAGAATTTGCCAATGAAGTCTCCTGGTTCTGGACTTTTATTTATTGAAAGGTTTTTGAATACTTATTTGATCTATCTAATTCTTGGGTCGGTTTAGGTAAATTGTGTATTTCAAGGAGTTTGTACATTCCTTTTGGTCATCTAATTTGTTAGTGTACAATTGTTCCTAGTACTCTGTTATAGTCTATTTTACTTCTTTATGGTCAGTAGTAATGGCCCCACTTTTTTATTTTTGCTTTTAATTATTCATGTCTTCTTTCTTTTTTCATCAATCTAGGCAAAGGTTTGTAAATTTTCTTAATCATTTCTAAAATCTGACTTTTGGTTTTATTGACTCTCTCCATTGTTTTTCTATACTTTGTTTCATTTATGTCTGTTTAATCTTTATTATTTATTTTCTTTTGCTAGATCTGGATTTAGCTTTCTCTCCTTTTCCTATTTTTTCAAAGTATAAAATTAGGATCCTTTTCCTTTTTAAGTGTAGGTGTTTCCCAATATATTTTTCTAAGCAATGCTTTTACCACAGCTTATAGCTTTTGGAATGTTGGGGTTTTGTCTTAATTTGTTTCTATGCATTTTCCATTCTCCCTTGTAATTTTTCTTTAACCTATTTTTGTTTAACAGTTTATAGCTTAATTGCCACATAGGTGTGAACTTTTTAGTTTTCCTTTCATTAATTATTTTCAAATTTACTCCATTTTAGTAGGAGAAGATATGTAATAAAATCTGTTTTTTTTAAATTTAATGAGACTTGTTTTTTGGTCACCATATAGACTATTTTAGAGAATATTGTACATGCATTAGAGAAATGTATATTCTTCTGTTGTTGGGTAGAGTGTTCTGTACATATGTCTATTCAATCTTGCTTGTTTATACTGTTGTTCAAATCATCTCTTTTCTTAGTGTTCTGTCTAGATATTCTAATCACCATTGAAAATAGTATATTGGTGTCTCCAATCATTATTTTAGAACTCATTGTTTTTTTCATTATCAAGGTTCACTTCATATATTTTTGTACTTCTTAATTTGAGGTAAAATGTTTATGATTGTTTTATCTTCTTGATGAGTTGATGTCATTATCAACATATGATGTATTTTGTCTTTTGTAACAGCTTTGACTTCTCTGATATTAGTAGAGTTACCCACCTGTCTTTTGGCTTCTATTTTCATGAAATATACTTTTCCCACTTTCATTTTTATCCTATTTGGGTCTTGGGATCTACAGTTAATTATTCATAGAGAACATAAAGTTGGATCATATTAGTTTTTTCCTTTCTGCAAATTTTGACTTTTTCATTAGAGATTTTAGTCCATTAACAATACAAGTAGAAACAAAAGACTTATTTCTGCTATTTTTCTTTTTTTCTATATATATTATGCTTCTTATTTTGTCATTTATTTCCTCCATTACTGCCTTCTTTGGTGTTTAATTTTTTTGTGTTTGTTTGTTTGCTGTTTGAGTGAACAATTTTGATTACCAACTTTATTTTTGTGTATGCATGTATGTGTATTATTTGTGTGTATATATATATATATATATATTACCTATAATATATACCTTTTAGATATCTCTCTATATATATATTTTAGATATCTATTTTATATATATAAATATATATATATGATACTTTAGATATTGTTTGTGGTTACCATAGGGATACACTTAACATTCCAAATTTATAACAGTGTTGTTTGATTTGATACCAATTTATTTTCAATGGAATAATTTAAACAGTCTGTGTTTTTACAGATCTGCCTATGTTGCTTTTGTCACAAATTATATCTTTATATATTGTGTGACACAAAACAGACTTATGAAAATATTTAATCACTTATTTTATATATAATGTAAGAAATAAAATGTCTAGTTACAATTTCTTTAAATAGTGGTGTTTATATTTTCCTATGTAGTTACTTTTACCAGAAATGTGTATTTCTTCATATGACTTTGAGTTACTATGTAATGTCCTTTCATTTCAATCTAAATGATCTTCCTTTAACATTTATTTTAGGGTAGATACAGTGGTAACAAACTCCTGTAGATTTTTTTTTTATTTTTCTAATCTGGAAAAGTCAATTTGTAAAGCACATTTTTGCCAGATACAGATTTCTTGTCTAGCATTATTTTTTCTTTCAACACTTTAAACATGTCATTCTATTGCCTTCTGGCTTTTATGTTTTTTATAAGAAATCAGTTGTTTCTAGCATCTTTTATATTTAATTAGACACTTATCTCTTACTTCTTTTAAGTTTCTCTTTTTGTCTCTTCTATTCAACAATTTGATTACAGTGTGTTTTAGTGCACATAGCTTTGCTTATCCTTCTTATATTTCATTGAGGTTCTTGGATGTGTATTTCATGTCTTTGGTCAAATTTAGAAAGTTGTTTCTCCAAATATTATTTCCTTCCATTTCTCCATTTTCTTCCCAGAAAATTCATGATTCGTAAGTTCATCAGTTTGATATTGTTTTAAAATATTTTCAGGCTATATTCTCATTTCTTTTTTCTTTTCTCCTGAAGCTGGTTAATTTCAATGGTCCTATCTTCAAGTTTTCCAGTTATGTATTTTGTCTACATAAATCTGCTATCAAACCTCTCTGGTGAGTTTTTTGTTTTTTTTTTTTTTTTTTTTTTTTTTTTTTGAGACAGGGTCTAATTGTCACTCAGGTTGAAGTGCAGTGGCATGATCACAGCTCACTGCAGCCTCGACTTCCTGGGCTCAGATGATTCTTCCACCTCAGCCTCCCAACTAGCTGAGTCTACAGACATGTGCCACCATGTCTGCAGCCTCCCAAGTAGCTGAGACTACAGACATGTGCCACCATGTCTGCTATTTTTTTTAATTTGTTTTGTAGAGATGGTGTTTTGCCATGTTGCCCAGGCTGGTCTCAAGCTCCTGGGCTCAAGTGATCCACCAGCCTCAGCCTCCCAAAATACTAGGCATGAGCCACCACACCTCGCTCTAGTAAATACTTCATTTCAGATACTATTCACTTCAGCTCTAGCATTTCTGTTTACTTCCTCTTATTAATTTCTATCTCTTTATTGATATGCTCTCTTATTTATACATTAATCTCTTGCTTTTCTTTCATTTTTATTCTATATTTTATTTTAGAATTTTGAGCATATAAAAGGCAGTTGATATAAACTCCATTTTTGGTGAAAACAATACCAGCCTTCCTCAGAAAGATTTCTATCAATTTATTTTATTCCTGCAAATGGGGCATGCTTTCTTGATTATTTATATGCTTTGTGATATTAACTTGAAAACTAGACATTTGATTATGATAATGTGGGAACTCTGGGGGTCAGATTTTCCATTTTTCCTTTTTGTTTTTATTTTTTAATTGAAGGTTGTATTGGTCCATTTGTGTAGTGACTTTTCCAAACTATTTTAACAAAGATTATATTTCTTGTTGACTGCATTGACTGAAGTGACCGTTCCATAGCTTACATTTAGCTTGTGTTTTGACAGAGATTTTCTGAAACACCAGAAGCTAAAGCAAATAAACCTCTCCCAGTCTTTGTAGATGGACTCTGTGCTAGAGTCCTTCTTCAACACTTAGCAAGGCTTTCACTGAGCCTAGGGAGCAGTCAGAGGTGAAAGCCTGAGGTCTTCTCAGGTCTTTTCTCTCTTGTCCTGGGAATGTGTGTGGATTTCTAAATTGCACCACATATGCAGGTGTTTTCAGTGGCCTAAATTCCCAAAGAATCTTTTCTCAGCTTTTCCTGTTAGGGCTTAGGTTGTCAACTGCATTCCTCAACTGCAATCTTTTGTTCCAGGCAAGGCTTTCTGCCTTTGTGAACTGGATGAGTTCCAAGTTAAGTAAAACAGAGATGAACACCTTTAGTCAATCCTTCCTGTAGCTCTTTGGAGGTTGGAAAATACATAAATCAGCCATCCCCAACCTTTTGGGCTCCAGGACCAGTTTTGTGGAAGATAAAACTGAGGGAGCAGGGTTCACGATGAAACTGTTCCACCTCAGATTACTGGGTATTATTAGATTCTCATAAGGAGCGTGAAAACTAGATCCATCACAGGCACAGTTCACAGTAAAGTTTGTGCTCCTATGAGAATCTAATGCCACAGCTGATCTGACAGGAGACAGGGCTCAGGTGGTAATGTTCCTTAGCCCACTGCTTACCTCCTCTTGTGCGGTCAGGTTCCTGCTAGGCCACAGATTGGTACCACAGACCAGTACTGGTCCACACCAGGGGTTTGTGACCCCTGACATAAATACTAATTTTTGAATGAGGTTTGCTCTGCTGCCTGCAGACCAGGGTTCCATACTAGTAACACAGGCTGCTGTCTTCAAGGGCTGTCAATGAGTCAGGAAAGAGGTGGGGCTATGACATCTGAAAAAGTCACAAAGGTTTCCTATCATTTTAGATTGCCTTTTTCTTGATTAAACATTTATTTGATCACTGTAAGTCTTCGACTGTTTTCTAGAGATAGAACGAAGTTGGTTCTGACAGTTTACACTTGTTTTCAGTATTTCTGGGTGCTGGGCCAAAATCTGTTGCTGTCTATTCTGTGATCTTGCTGATGTCACTCCCAGATATTGTCGGTTTTGAAGATCTTTGCCTGTTTGACAGTTAAAATTCATACCCATAAGTTTATTGTTATATTCTATTTTCATTTCCTTCTTACCATAAAGAGTGTTCCCATCTCCTGATTATTTTGCACCATCATCTCCTTGTTTATTATTATATTAAACAATACTGATTTTCCTGAACTTTGCTGGGGCAAATAGTGTCAAAAATATACTTTAAAAATGAAAAGTAAAATTGTTTTGTGCTTTTTACTACATTTTGAGTAGTAAAATTAAATGTTACATCTTAAGCATGAAATTTTATGTAATTTTAGATTGTTGTGGATTTCAGTGAACTCCATTTATAAGCTAGTAGTGTTTTTTCCTCGGCTTTTATTATATATATATTGCTTATTTTAAATCAATCCTCACAACTCCAGCATAATAGATACTATTGTTTTCATTTTGCAGATTAGAAAACTGTTTAAAAAAAAAACTGAGTATTTGGACCCCACAGCATCAATAAGACAGTGCTAGATCTTGCTCAACACAATTCTGTATTTCAAAATTTAATCCTGTTAAACAAGAAGTTGTTATTCTGATTCTCAATTTTTCTATTTCTTTACTTAACTTTGCATTAATATTGGTTTATTCAATCTTGACATTTGCTCAAAATCCTATGCATATATATTTCTTGTCTTTTAATATGCTATTTAAATCCTCCTTCTGAAATATAAGTTGGATGGCTGGTTAATGTGGGTTTATATTAACTGTCTAGTCATCTGTAAACCTGAGGGGTTTGGAGAAAACTCCAGGGTCATGCACAAACCCAGTTCTATGTGGAGTTTCTGTGTTTAGTGAAGTCAATGTACTCAAGGACACATTTTTATATCTAATATTGTGTTTAACCCTTACTCCAGTACATCTTAGGTCTGTGTCAGGCCTTTATCCCACAGCTATCATTCATTGCCTCATAGCTGAGCCAACTCCTAATAGTAATAGTAGTTCTGAATATCTATTCTATATGGATAGGTTGGCCCCACCAGCAGTCTCTGAATATTTTGAATAGGCTTGTGAATGGGCTGTCAAGTGGAATGTTAAATTTCAGAGTCACTCCTGATTCTAGAACTTGTGGTTTTACTGCTTACTTCATTGATATACCAGTTGTTTTCTTTACAAGAAGAATTGCTGTCTACCTTTCAAATTATATCTGGCAACAGATCTCAAACTGTCTCTTAGGTGGTAGATGACTTTCCCTTATTTCTCTTAGGAATGCATTTATCGCTACGTTTTTATATTTCTCTGTTGTTATCAGCAAAGTTTTGTTGGAAGACTGTTTTGAAATTTGCCCTGTAACCCATAACTCTACATTTTAATTAAATTAAATCACTTAATAGAATGAATTGTTTCCACAGACGGAACTGCTGTTTCTCTATTTGTTTCAGTTAAGCATAACCCAAGCTATTTTTGTATTTACTTTCTAAGAAATTGTATCTACATATATACACTTTAATAATCTATGAATATTCAGTGCCTTTCCAATATATTTCTTGTAGCACGATTTATCTGTTCACCATGATAAATTAAGCTAAAATTCTCTGTATTCTTTTTTTTTTTTCAGGAATTATGCTTCAATGTGAGGAGTCTTCTGAAATGATTTACAAATTAGTAGAAAAAATAAACAGAACATATATGGATACAAATATATATGGATATAACACATATGTGTGAAAAAAGTAAGATATTATCATAAGATTATCACAATATTATCACCAATAATCAAATGTTTTAAATTTACCTTTATAACTAGTGTGTCTTAATAGTTGAGGAGAACTGTAACAGGTAGATTTTTTTTTTTCAGAAGGTTTATCAGCAACCACTGGGAAAATTGTTGGCCTTTGTGGAAGACAATTCATTTCAATCAGGCTTACCCTGTGAACTTTACTGTATTCATTCATCCAACACAATTTCCCAGTGTGGTTATACTTGAGCTTGAGTTGAGATGACTCAGGTTTATGAACCATTCACTTCCAATTGAATTCAGTCTACTTTGTGGTACACTGAACTTCCATGATTTAGAAACATATATCATTTTAATAATACAAGCTTTTTAAGTAAAAAAATTTAAGGTAAAACTGAACAAAATTAAAAAATGCCATAGTATAGTTTTTATTGGCTCGTTATATTAAATGGAATTTTAGTTTAATAAGGTTTAAAAATGTCTACTCTGAATATGATTTGTTACATTGTGAGAAGAAAATAAAGTCAAATGTTAATTTTAGTATAAAATTATGTTTTGTACTTATGTGTGTATGATTTAGTTGTTTATACTGTATTTTTAGTAATGCAATACTCTTTACTCATTGTATTAGAATTATTAGGATTATATATTAGGGATTTATTATTCAGATAAATGCTGTGGTTAGATTTATGTTAATTTTTAATGCGTTTTCTTGGCATTCCCTGGAATGGAATTTCCAGATTTTCTAATTACAATATTTGAAGTACAGAAATAACTATAATGTTGGTAATGGAAGCATGTACTTACTCTCAAGTATATAACCATGTAACATCGAAATTTCTTGTTGACTTTAAAAATGACAATTACTAAATTGCTATTATTAGCATAGGTATACTAATCAGTATCTATGCTTACAAAATACTTAAGGAATTTCTAAAAGTATAATCGGAATATGGTATAGAATTTAAATAGTCACATGAATTAGACATGTGAATGAACTTTGAAAATGTGTATATATATATACATACAAATATATTTGTATGTATATATATACACAAAAATGTATTTGTATGTATATACGTGTATGTGCTCTGATATACATATTTATGATACATGTATATAACCATATATATATAAATTATCTAAAAATAACAAAATTTAAGAAAATAACATCAATAACTAGTAAAGACTCAAAACAAAATAGTATAGGTATACTTGATGTTCTTTAGCTTTAAATTGAAATATAGCTCAATTATGTATATTTTCTTATGTATTTTACTTGTAACTGATATGACATCCTTTAACTCATATATTACTAGTGAAATAATTCTAACATATACACTTAAGATTAGATATGACTTAATCTAAAAGCATATATCTAATTTTTTACCTTTTCATGTTAATTGTGTATATTATACAATTTTATATTGATAGTAAAACTATTCATATAATGCTGTAAATTATTTTTAAACTTACCACATGGTCTGACACACAGTAAGTAGGTATCAAATATATATTCTTTGTATGCATGAATATGTATATTATAAATGAATATTTTCATTTACAAAGTGCAAACAGGATACTTAATAACTATTTAGAATCTCTGTTTAGCAGGATGCAAATCCTCCTAACTGTGGATTCAGGAATTGAAATCTATTATGTAAATATTAATATCTATAAGATCTACCCTACTATCACTTACTAGTTATTTCTAGCCCTTGTGCTATTCCTTCTCTGTGACAACAGTCATGCAAATTACCTTTCAAATTCATGATAGGAAAGCTTTCATCATGCCTCAAATTTTACTAGTATCTGGCTGCTGGGAATTACAGGATTAAACCATTTTAGAATCCAGAGCCTATTGCTAATAAAATTTTGTGACAACACATAATACTATCTTTCAATACATTACTAAGATTTAATACCCACTTAATTTTGTTCCAGGTACACATAAAGCCCGTAGATACATGACTATTTAAAAATAAAGGGCACTTTACAAAATTGATTAGTATATTTTAAAATAAAATCCTTTTCATATCCTTTACTGTATCCTACAACCAATTGTTTGCTCTAGAGTTTAGCACTGTTAAGAGTGTAGCCACAAACCTTTCAAGTTATATATATATATAATATTTATATATATATTTATGTACTTATGCCAAATTTCTTTTTAATTGACACAAATGGAATTATTGTCTAAGCACTTTCTGCATCATTTTCTAAAATTTACAATGTTTTCACTATTAGCACTTTAGATATATGTTATTATTTTACCTGATATGTAACACTTCATAGTACTAGTACATTATACTATAAAATGAGAACAATGTTTAACATTTCATCAAATATTTCTATAATTAATATATTTTATATAATGCTTTGTGCACTTGTACTCATATTTCCATAAGGTAAACACATAGAAGGACAAATTTCTAAGAAGGTAAGAAGATAAAGGAGGTTCTGGCTTGAAATTAATAAAAACCCTGAACTCCAACTGACTTTTACAATGAAGGAGATTTATCAGCTCCTATTACATATTCCAGAGTGATTGGGCATTTTGCAACTGGTTCAGCATGAAGTACACAGATTATTTCCGCCTTGCCTGTGTCCCACCCAGAATTCATGTCTTCAGTACATTTCTTCTTGATTATAAGGAAGCTGTGAGCAGCAACTTGGACTATATGCTCTCTGACGCATAACAAGGTCACGGCAGTTAATTGTTTGGCTGTTTTTTCTCATTTTTAGGCAGTATTGTTTGCCATTTTATTAGGCAAGATCTATCCAGTAACTTGATGGTCATGCCCTAAAAGTACATACTGCAAAGTGTAAATCCCACACTAAGCTTATAACTTGTATAAGATATATTTTAGGAGAAAAGATAATATCTATAAAAACCAACTTTGAACACTGTACAATTGGTATCATCAATGGTGGAGATGGGCAATCTTCTCCAGGGACATAGAAATATACTTAGGAAATTCAGAGACCTTACTTCCTCAACAAGTCTTAGGATATGATGTACTTCCAAACACATAAGTCATATCTTTTATTTTAGATTATTTGTTTATGTTTGTTACTGTTTTCTGATACATAACAAAGTGGTAGTATTTTTTTAAGAAAATTACATTATAGGTAGTAATTCCGATTTTCTTTTTATACTATAGTAGGTTGTATGTTTCTTAAATAGTCCATAGGAATAGTATTATGGAGTTTTATATTTGACAGGAGCCTTGTAAACATTTAGAAATCAAACTCGAAGCAATAACAAAACCTATTTGCAAAGATAGTAAACAAAATCAGCATCTGATTATTTATTTAACAAATGGTATTCTATGTTGTCAAATATCCAAATAACTCAATGATTTTTCTTTAATTTTTAGTGGTATCTGAGGATTAAAATGTTATAAGTTTTAAAATGTTACAGTAAAAGAAAAATCATATTAAAAGTAGTGATTTTATGAATTATATAACAAATTCTGTTTCCTCTCTTTTTTAAATGCAAAATTAATCTACATTTTGGGATTGCACAACGTTTTAAACATGATGCATTTTCGATGATACTTTGTTCAATATTAAAGGGTATATTCATTTTATATAATTTAAATAACATCAGAAATAAAGTGATGATGTCACTAACAGCCAACAGTTTGTCACTGTCCTGTCAAGCTACAAAGGCTGTAAATCATATCTACAAACATGTCTTATACAAAGTAAAAGTATTTCCAATTAAAAAATTTATCAGTATCAACTAATAGAAACCTTGCAGTGGTAGATATCTTCAAAAACCACCAATGACTTAGTATGAATAAATAAATGTACCCAGTACTCTGTAAAATAAGAATTTTTCCTCAAATCTTTTCTTTTGCTTATATGATCTGACAATATTTTGGCTTATATGAATACCACCTACAACCAGATTTCTACTGACAAATTATAAAAGACAGAGGACCGTTATGAAACAAAGATTAGGGAAACAAACCAAAGTGTCTGTGTATAGACAATAATGCTCTTACTGCCAAGTAGAAAATGAATATCCTGTCTGAAACCTGTGCTAGTCAGTTTACGTATCTGAAAAAAATCATAGGACACAGAGAGTTGAGGATACATAAGAATAGCATTTTTTTCTACTCCATGTAGTCTTCTCCAAATGTGAGATCAGACTGTTGTGATTTAGTGAAAAAATAATCTGAGAGAATGTCCATATGCAAACAGATATTGTTTGAAAATGTGCATGTTTCTTCTAAAGAAGGTACATTTTAGAACTTTCGAAGGATTCATTTTTACACTAAGTTTAAGAACAAAATCTGCTTTCAGATGTGTATTCATGAATGGGAATAAAGTGAGTTTGTTGTTATTTTATGTCCAATACTTCCCAGGACAATAAAGGTTGCCTAATGGGGTTTCCTAATTGCTAGTTGCATCTTTGAATTACTTGATAATCACCTTCACATATATTAGAATTTTTAATATTTTGTGGATGTCTTCTGTCCAATTATGCTAAACATAAAGATGAAATATTATAAATTTGACTAGAATAAAAAGACTATTGTGTTATTTCCATAAGAGATCTTTCAAAGTCTTTCAAAAAGATTGGCTAAGTATACAGTAAATAACGAGCTCTTATACCAGGTGGATACTGAATTGTTTTGAAGGCATTGAGCCGCTGTATCATCTTCATTTTCACACATTAAAGCCAGGCATATTGCAAGCAATTAATCATATACTTGTTTATTGTTTCGGATTAAATGCATTTTACACACTTTTTGTTGAGAATTTAATTACAAATCATTCCAATGTAAAGCAGTCATTAATTTACTAAGTTTAGAAAAAGGAAGACACAACAGAGAAAGAAAAGAAATGGCTTATCGTTGAAATGAGAATGATAGTTTAAATGTCTAGTTATTTAGATAAAAAATAGGGCATTATTGTTAATTTTATCTAAAACTGCAAATAGTACTGATGAAAATCGCGTTTACTCTTTTACAGATCAGATCATAGAAAACATTCGAATAGCCTTATTCAGTGTCAAATCCACTTTTAAAGTGACCGTCATGAATGAATATGTCGTTAAGCTTTCAATTTTTAAATACAGTGTATGATTAAGATCCGTATAGTGAAAGAGAAAATATGCATAAAAACTCACAAGTAACTCATTGCAAATATTAAGATATTGTAATTAACTTTTAATTTCTAATAAAACTTCAAAAATGAAGATTACTTATACATTATCATTAGCCTAGCCAATTTTAGACAATTGGTTTTTAGGTGCTTTTTAAGACACACTTTCACAAATATAGCCTAACTTTGAAACTGGAAAAAGTATATGACTTTTTTGACCATCCTGTCATTGAAAGAGGTTCTTTGACATAGTTTTTTTTTTTTTTTTTTTTTTGAGACGGAGCCTCGCTCTGTCACCCAGGCTGCAGTGCAGTGGCGCGATCTAGCCAGGATGGTCTCGATCTCCTGACCTCATGATCCGCCTGCCTCAGCCTCCTAAAGTGCTGGGATTACAGGCGTGAGCCACAGCGCCCGACCATTCTTTGATATAGTTTTATAAATAGCTTGTTATGGAATAGCATAGGGCTAATTTGGTTATGAAAATTTATTACATGTTGAATGCATACAGAAGTAACGTTTTTCCCCATAAAGTATATATAAGGGATTAAAATTTGAGTGTAAATTAGATCTTCATATTTTAGTAATCAGTAAACTTACAAGATTAATCCAGGTTTAATTTAGTTAGTATGAGTGTTTTAATAATTGTGAATTATTAGGACAGTTTCCAGTACCAATTGGCACTTATATTTGTAATGGAGGCACGACTGCCTTTAAAATAATATTATTTTATTGGGTTGATGTGGAATATTCATTCAATACCACATGATATTTTCTTAATGTAATCTGCACTTTCTTTTTGCTACTGGAGTTTTTTACTGTCCTGATAATTTTGAAAATATTGCCACTGTTCTATTTTTCCATAACTTTGCAGGGTTCAAATTTAATAGGATATAGTTTTCTCTGTCAGTAATGACTTTTAATTGGTTTGGTTGCTCTGAGGAGGTATTAACCACTGTCTCATGGGAAGCAAGACAGGCCAGGAGGAATTTGCATGTCTTGACTCCTGAGATAACTTAAGAAAAAGGAAAGACTGAAAAGCCAGTCCTGTTTCATGGAACTGCCAAAGCAGACCAGTATTGTAGATTTTCTTGCCTTCCTAATGTTTACAGTATTGTTTTTTGTTTGTTTGTTTGTTTGTTTGTTTTTGAGACAGAATCTTGCTCTGTCTCCCAGGCTGGAGGAGGGCAGTGGCGTGATCTCGGCTCATTGCAAGCTCTGCCTCCAGGGTTGACGCCATTCTTCTGTCTCAGCCTCCCGAGCAGCTGGGACTACAGGCGCCCACCACTACGCCTGGCTAATTTTTTTGTATTTTTTTAGTACAGACGGGGTTTCACCGTGTTAGCCAGGATGGTCTCCATCTCCTGACCTCGTGATCCACCCGCCTCGGCCTCCCAAAGTGCTATGATTACAGGCGTGAGCCACCGCGCCCCACCTTCAGTTCTTTTTGTACACCTGAGTCATCAATCTGTTTGAATTGTGGTTCTTAAATAGATAAGGCATTATTTCTCAAATTATTATCTTTTTGTCACTAAATATTAAATATTTCATTCCTGAAGTATTTAAATAAAGCAACTTTACATATTTCTATCAATTGTTGACATTCAAATCAGTAATTTCTTAATTTTTTTTGGCTAGAAAATTTCTGAATTCTATATTCTAATGAAAAAATAAAATATTACTTTGCATTTTGTTTGTTTTAATATTGTCAGTAGAATGTAGAACTTTGAAATGCCAAAATATGTTAATGTTAGACTTCCTAGTGGTTAATAAGAATTATATTTGGATGACATAGATGCTTGCCATAGACTACTTTGATAATAAAGTTTAAACCAGAAAACTTATTCTTGCCATTTGACATTTTTTACTGGTTCTAATTAAACAATTTGATTATCTGTATTGATTAAAATAATTAATTAACGACTGGCATTTTATTCTCATCATTTTTCTTTAATTTTATATGTGATTTCTATTGAAGTAAACTTAAATACATTAAGTCAGAGAAGTAAGACAGGATGAAGAACGAGGAAAAATAAGAAACTGAAAAAAAAAAGAGCGAAACTGACAGCTTTCTAAAGTTTTATTTTTCTTTATTCTGGGTTTAAGCATAGTTTGTTAAACTCCACTGAAGCCTGAACATGTACTGAACATTGAAACTGAAATCTTGCTTTTAATGAAAACAATAGAGATTTCAATTATACAGTACTTTCATACGTATCTCTGACATCTTGCCTGAAATTGCTTCAAAAAATAAAAATAACAAATCATACATAATAATTATCTGATGACTCAATTAAATGTGATGATAAATCTCAGCTCTTACAGTGCAATTAAAGTTTCTATTTTATAGAATAAAGAAAATAATTCATTTTCAGTTCGTAAATTAGCAAAAAGTGTCCTAAATTCAGAAGTAATCACAGATACCACTTAATTCAGTGTACTAGGGAAAATAAGATATTCTCAAAAATAACAGTGGTAAAATATCCTCTTACAACTCTAGAATTCATAAACAGTGTGTTAGAGACTGTTTGCTCTTTGAGAATAAACACTGCAATAATTAAAACCACAAGAGTTAATATTTAATCGATTCAGGGCCATATTACTTGATTTAATTGAGACTTTGAAATGAAATAATGAGTAACTGAATATGTGTTTGTGTATACAATCATAATTAATTGTTTTTATCACTGAACGATAAAATATAAGATGATATATTTTTAAGGATAGTGCTTCAAAGAAAATATTAAATTCCAATTAGGCAAACAATATGATTCAAACATTTTCTTCTCTCAGTGTTCTTATAAAGTATAGACCCTTCATTATTTTTACACTTTATTTTGAAAAATGTGGTCACTTTCTTTATAGAGAACAATATATCCTTGAATTTTTCTAATGTACTTTCTTAGACTATACATTTTTAAACTTTTTAAAATTTTGTTTTAATTTTATAAATTTTAAACGTAAATTATTTATTGAAATAAGTGGTATTTTAGGAGTATCTCAACTTTTCCAAATGACTTTCTCTATCTACTTTACTTCAACTTCACTTAATTATTTTTCCTAAAATTCTGTCTTTCTTCTTACACTTTAAGTTTTGAAGATGATGTGGGAAGAACTATAGAATATAAAATCATTCCAGCATCTAATTTCTCCAATTATCAGAACAGAGGCATATATTTATAGTCCTGTTTAATAAGGTGTTTTCTTGGGTTATTTAACTCTTCAAGTACGAAATAACTCTTCAAATCCATTTAAAATATTACTAAACTTCCACTGTCTGAGAAGGTGGAAATTATCGATAAAGTTTCTGGTTAAGACAATTAAGATTGACAAAAGCCTTGAGAACAGCTGGTAACTGAACTGTCCGAAGAGTCAGCAATAGGACAGCTTACATTTTAAGAAGGAAATTCTTTTCTTTTTGAATCAATCTTGTTGTGTTTCCCAGGCTGGGGTGCAATGGCAAGATGATGGGTCACTGAAGCGTCCATACCCCAGACTCAACCGATCCTTCCACCTCAGCCTCTACTCTGTCCCCACTCCTACTATGCTCCCCGCACCGAACCTCCCCACTCCCCACCCAGTAGCTGGGACTGCAGGCATGCACCACCATGTCCAGCACATTTTTAAATTTTTTTTTACAGAGACAAGGTCTCATTGTGTTGCCCAGGATGGTCTCAAACTCCTGGACTTAAGCAGTCCTCCCACCTCAGCCTCACAAAATGCTGGGATTACAGGCAAGGAGCCATGGCACCCAGCCAGGAGATTTTTAATAAATATCCCTAGAAAATAGTAAATATTTCTATGCAAGTGATGGGCTTTAAAACAAAATTAAAAGCAAAGACACCAAATGGTAAAAGTCATTTAAACATATAGAGCAGAAAAAGCATTAGTAGTTAGAATGTACAGAGTGTTCTTGGTACCAATATAAACAAATTTAAACACCACTGGAAAATTTGTGGAAGACATGGATAGGAAATTCGTAGAAGAGGAAATGAGGATGCCTTACAGATATGTTACCATGTTACATGGATCTGCCTAGCAGAAAGCTGAAATGACAATAAGATTGGTAAAACTGAGTTAATAGTAACTCATGCCTCTGGTGTAAGTATGAACTGATACAATACTTTAAAAAATAATTAGGTCATGTCATTACATTTTAAAATATATATGACTCAAAGGGGTGGCCATAGCTAATAACTGGCTACAAAATGACTGCTAGTGCTAAATATCATCCAATTTTTAGATTTTTCCCAGCACATGGTGATTGTACTTCTCTGCCCTCCTTATATTTAAGTTGGGCCATGCGACTTTCTGGCCAAGGGTTTGTGGGTAGAAATGTCATTTGTTATTTCAATCCATGGCATTTAATGGCTTATAAATGAAAATCCAGTGTTCTCTGTATTTGCTCTGTACACAAAAGAAGCTGCATGTTCCAGCTCAAAGATTCAGCTATGGGAACATCTTGAATCACAAGTGGCTATGTGGACTCTAGTGTCTTGCAGAATTTTCTGAAATCATACTAGACTTAGTAAAAATGTATGTTGTTTTAAGACAATGAGGGCTGAGCACAGGGGCTCACAGCTGTAATCTCAGCACTTTTGGAGGCTTAGGTGGGTGGATCACCTGAGGTCAGGAATTTGAGACCAGCCTGATCAACATGGTGAAACCCCAACTCTGTTAAAAATACTAAAATTAGCTGGGTGTGGTGGCGCACGCCTGTAGTTCCAGCTACTCAGGGGGCTGAGGCACGAGAGTTGCTTCATCCTGGGAGGCGGAGGTTGCAGTGAGCTGAGATCACAGTACTGCACTGCAGCCTGGGCCACAGAGCAAGACTGTCTCAAAAACTAAACAAGAAAAAAAAAAGACACTGAGATTTGGAATTTGTTATTATAGCATAATAAAACAATTCTGAATAATACAATGATACTTCTTCTCAACAAACTATTGTATATGTGTAAAGGCAAAACACACTTTGTAACCTTTAGAGTTTCAAGTGAATCATATAATGAAAAACTATGCAGCAATTAAACCAGTAATCTATTTCTCCAGGTATGAACACAGTAATTTACGAATAATCTCTATTCATGGTAATATAAATTAGAAAACTTTTTTTCTCTCCATAGACTTTACACATGCACCAACTGAGTATCCATCCCTCTCCACTTGATAACATTATGAGCATACTCCATAGCTTTTCAATTATTCTTAGCTATAAGAGTTGTTTCTTTTTAGCAGTTCAGTTCAACCCAATGAAAACCTCAAGCTAACATACAATTTAAATCCCATGTCTTACCCTCAGGCTTGCCTGACCAGTGAACTGAAGTCAAATACATCTCGGCCTCTCTTCTCTGAAGAATTTCTCTCAAAGCTACACTGTGAAACATCCCTCCTAAGCATGGCTTCAGGGTGGATATTTACCTCTTAAATATTGGTAGGCAGTATCAGCTAGTTCCATTCCTGATGGACCATTGCCTTATCAACATTTTTAAAATGTGAAATAGTTTAAAATTTACCCTATCACTTAAGAAGTTCAAGCCCAAGTACCTTTTCTGCAAATAGTTCTTAAGAAAAATCAATTATCCTTGTCATGTGCAATGTTAAATATGCAGCATGCTTACCTACAGCATTATATATTCTGTGCTTACCCTGATAAGTTGCTCCAGACACACCTTCAAATTCAGGTATCTTAGGTTGGGACAAAGAAATATCTAGGTCAACACAAGTAGCTTTCACTGAGCTGAAAGCTAGTCCACTGTAATCGTGTTTACCTATTGGATAATTTAAAGCCTATCTGTCTTTGCAGAGGGAGAATTTCATATTTAACTTAAAAAAACTAATACATATGAGAGATGCTATATTGCAGCAAAATATTTCTAATATTTATCAGCTATATGTTTTTAAATGACTTTAAAATTATATTCCCATTAAAATGTTTGTATGTCACACTTATAAAGAAATAGAAATTAAAATTAAGGAGGTACATTATTAACATTGAGATGCAATTCTAATTATGAGGAAGTTTGAGGAGGACTAATAATTCAATTACAGTAACTGAGACAGACTAAATATTCAACTCATATTCTTTGAAAAATATCTAATGTATCACCTCAAATCTGAATAGTTGTGGTACTTAATTTTCTGCTACTTCTTTCATTTACTGCAACTCTGAAAAAATATCCTCCCTTGTAAAGTTCCTTTAGAAGGAACTTGTCCCTTTGTTTTGTGTGTGTGTGTGTGTGTGTGTGTGTGTTTTGTGTGTTTTTTGCCTTTTAAGACAAGAGTATCACTCTGTAACCCAGGCTAGAGTGCAGTGGCATAATCACGACTTACTGCAGCCTCAACCTCCTGGCCTCAATCTATCCTCCTGCTTCAGCCTCCCAGATAGCTAGCACTACAAGCACACACCACCATGTCTGGCTAATTTTTTGTTGTCTTTTTTTGTCTGGTAGTGACGAGGTCTCCCTATGTTGCCCAGGCTGGTTTAAATTCCTGTGCTAAAGTGATCTTCATGCCTTGGTCTCTCAAAGTGCTGGGATTACAGGGGTGAGCCATCATGCCTGGAGGGAACTTGCGTTTTGTGCACTGTAAAACTTAGATGACTCATCTTTTTCAAAACACAATTTAAATTTTGGGGGTAGAGTTTCACATCCTCATTTATCAATGTAGAACACACGATCTCTCAGAGGTTGACATGATAAACCTTTCCTGAGATTTATGATGGGGTATATTGGCATGTTTATTTTAGCATAAAAATGATCTGTGAATATTTCCAACTTTTGTTGGGTTTGATCTGGTACATAGCCATAACATGGCGAGTTAGATAACATTTTTTATAAAAACAGTTAAGTTTATTCAAGGTAATTATTCTTCACCTCATAGAAGTAAAATCATAAAGTCAAAAAATGATAAATAAAAAGGAATGAACAAAGCCTCCAAGAAATGTGGGACTATGTGAAAAGGCCCAATCTATGTTTGACTGGTGTCCCTGAAAGAGATGGGGAGAATGGAACCAAGTTGGGAAACACTCTTCAGGATATTATCCAGGAGAACATCCCAACCTAGCAAGACAGACCACCATTAAAATTCAGAGAACACTACAAAGATACTCCTCAAGAAGAGCAACTCCAAGACACATAATCGTTAGACTCACCAAGGTAGAAATGAAGGAAAAAATATTAAGGGCAACCAGAGAGAAAGGTTGGGTTTCCCACAAAGAGAAGTCCATCAGACTAACAGCAGATCTCTCTGCAGAAACTCTGCAAGCCAGAAGAGAGTGGGGGCCAATATTCAACATTCTTAAAGAAAATAATTTTCAATCCAGAATTTCATATCCAGCCAAACTAAGCTTCATAAGCGAAGGAGAAATAAAATCCTATACAGACAAGCAAATGCTGAGAGATTCTGTCACCCCCAGTCGTGCCTTACAAGAGCTCCTGAAGGAAGCACTAAACATGGAAAGGAACAACTGGTACCAGCCACTGCGAAAACATACCAAATTGTAAAGAACATCGACACTGTGAAGAAATTGCATTAATTAAGGGGCAAAACAACCAGCTAGGATCATAATGACAGGATCATATCCACACATAACTATGTTAATCTTAAATGTAAATGGGCTAAATGTCCCAATTAAAAGACACAGACTGGCAAATTGGATAAAGAGTCAAGGTCCATCAGTGTGCTGTCTTCAGGAGACCTATCTCACGTGCAAAGACACACATACAAAGGGATGGAGGAATATTTACCAAGCAAATGGAAAGAAAAAAAAAGCAGGAGCTGCAATCATAATCGCTGATAAAACAGACTTTAAACCAACAAAGATCAGAAGAGACAAAGAAGACCATTACATAACGGTTAAGGGATCAATGCACCAAGAAGAGCTAACTATCCTAAATATATATGCACCCAACACAGGAGCTCCCAGATTTAGAAAGCAAGTTCTTAGAGATCTACAAAGAGACTTAGACTTGCACACAATAATAGTGGGAGACTTTAACAACCCACTGTATATTAGACAAATCAACGAGACAGAAAATTAACAAGGATATTCAGGACTTGAACTCAGCTCTGGACCGAGAAGACCTAATAGACCTCTACAGAACTCTCCACCCCAAATCAACAGAATATATATTCTTCTCAGCACCTCATCGCACTTATTCTAAATTGACCATATAATTGGAAGTAAAACACTCCTTAGCAAATGCAAAAGAACGGAAGTCATAACAAACGGTTTCTCAGACCACGTGCAATCAAACTAGAACTCAGGATTAAGAAACTCACTCAAAACCACACAACCACAGGGAAACTGAACAACCTGCTCCTGAATGACTACTGTGTAAATAATGAAATGAAGGCAGAAATAAAGATGTTCTTTGAAACCAATGAGAACAAATACATAATGTACCAGAATCTATGAGACACATTTAAAGCAGTGTTTAAGAGTGAAACTTATAGCTCTGGATGCCCACAAGAGAAAGCAGGAAAGATCTAAAATTGATGCCCTAACATCAAAATTAAAAGAACTAGAGAAGCAACAGCAAACAAATTCAAAAGCTAGCAGAAGACATCAAATAACTAAGATCAGAGCAGAACTGAAGGAGACAGGGACACGAAAAACCCTTAAAAAAATCATTGAAACCAGAAGCTTGTTTTTTGAAAAAATCAACAAAATACATAGACCACTAGCCAGACTAATAAAGAAGAAAAGAGAGAAGAATCAAATAGACATAATAAAAAAGGATATATGGGATGTCACCACTGATCCCACAGAAATACAAACTACCATCAGAGAATACCGTAAACACCTCTATGCAAATAAACTAGAAAACCTAGAAGAAATGGTTAAATTCCTGGACACATACACGCTCCCAAGTCTAAGCCAAGAAGAAGTCAAATCTCTGAATAAGCCAATAACAAGTTCTGAAATTGAGGCAGTAATTAATAGCATACCAACAAAAAAAGTCCAGAACCAGACAGATTCACAGCTGAATTCTACCAGAGGTACAAGGAGGAGCTGATATCATTCCTTCTGAAACTATTCCAAACAATAGAAAAAGAGGGAATCCTCCCTAACTCATTTTATGAGGCCAGCATCATCCTGATACCAAAATCTGGCAGAGAGACAACAAAAAAGAAAATTTCAGACCAATATCCCTGATGAACATCGATGTGAAAATTCTCAATAAAATACTGGCAAACTGAATCCAGCAGCACATCAAAAAGCTTATCCACCATGATCATACCTGGGATGCAAGGCTGGTACAACATACACAAATCAATAAATGTAATCCATCATATAAACAGAACTAATAATAAAAACCACATGATTATCTCAACAGATGCAGAAAAGAACTCTGATAAAATTCAACACCCCTTCATGTTAAAACCTCTCAACAAACTAGATATCAATAGAACATATCTCAAAATAATAAGAGCTATTTATGACAAACCCACTGCCAATATCATACTGAATGGGCAAAAACTGGAAGCATTCCCTTTGAAAACCGGCACAAGGCAAGGATGCCCTCTCTCACCACTCCTATTCAGCATAGTATTCAAAGTTCAGGCCAGGGCAATCAGGCAAGAGAAAGCAATAAAGAGTATTCAAATAGTAAGAGATGAAGTCAAATTGTCTCTGTTTGCAGATGACATGATAGTGTATTTTGAAAACCCCATTTCTCAGCCCGAAATCTCCTTAAGCTGATAAGCAACTTCAGCAAAGTCTCAGGATACAAAATCAATGTGCAAAAATCACAAGCGTTCCTATACACCAATAACAGATAAACAGAGAGCCAAATCATGATGAACTCCCATTCACAATTGCTACAAAGAGAATAAAATACCTAGGAATAAAACTTATGAGGGATGCGAAGGACCT
This sequence comes from Homo sapiens, assembly GCF_000001405.40. Taxonomy (NCBI): domain Eukaryota; kingdom Metazoa; phylum Chordata; class Mammalia; order Primates; family Hominidae; genus Homo; species Homo sapiens. The sequence goes on along the minus strand of NC_000003.12, from coordinate 83,245,364 downwards.
CTTCAAGGAGAACTACAAACCACTGCTCAAGGAAATAAGAGAAGACACAAACAAATGGAAGAACGTTCCATGCTCATGAATAGGAAGAATCAATATCACGAAAATGACGATACTGCCCAAAGTAATTTATAGATTCAATGCTATCCGCATCAAGCTACCAGTGACTTTCTTCACAGAACTGGAAAAAAAAAACTACTTTAAAATTCATATGGAACCAAAAAAGAGCCCGCATAGCCAAGACAATCTTGGGCAAGAAGAACAAAGCTGGAGGCATCATGCTACTTGACTTCAAACTATACTACAAGGCTACAGTAACCAAAACAGCATGGTACTGGTACCAAAACAGATATATAGACCAATGGAACAGAACAGATCAAACACTTAAACATAAGACCTAGGACCATAAAAATTCTAGAAAACCTGGGGCAATACCATTCAGGACATGGGCATGGGCAAAGACTTCACATCTAAAACATCAAAAGCAATGGCAACAAAAGCCAAAATTGACAAATGGGATCTAATTAAGCTAAAGAGCTTCTGCACAGCAAAAGAAGCTATCATCAGAGTGAACAGGCAACCTACAGAATGGGAGAAAATTTTTGCAATCTATCTATCTGACAAAGGGCTAATGTCAAGAATCAACAAAGAACTTAAACAAATTTGCAAGAAAAAAAACAACGCCATCAAAAAATGGGCAAAGGATATAAACAGACACTTCTCAGAAGGAGACATTTATGCAGCCAAAAGACATATGAAAAAATGCTCATCATCAATAGTCATTAGAGAAATGCAAATCAAAACCAAAATGAGATACCATCTCATGCCAGTTAGAATGGTGGTCATTAAAAAGTCAGGAAACAATGGATGCTGGAGAGGTTGTGGAATAATAGGAACACTTTTATACTGTTGGTAGGAGTGTAAATTAGTTCAGCCATAATGGAAAACAGAGTGGTGATTCCTCATGGACCTAGAACCAGAAATACCATATGACCCAGCAATTCCATTACTGGGCATATACCCAAAGGATTATAAATCATTCTACAATAAAAACACATGCACACATATGTTTATTGTGGCATTATTCACAATTGCAAAGACTTGGAACAAACCCAAATGTCCATCAATGATAGACTGGATAAAGAAAATGTGGCACATATGCACCATGGAATACTATGCAGCCATAAATAAGGATGAGTGCATGTCGTTTGCAGGGACATGGATGAAGCTGGAAACCATCATGCTCAGCAAACTGTCACAAGATCAGAAAACCAAACACCACGTGTTCTCACTCATAAGTGGGAGTTGAACAATGAGAACACATGGACACAAGGAGGGGAACATCACACTGGGGCCTGTCGGGAGGTAGGGCCTAGAGGAGGGATCACATTAGGAGAAATGTCAAATGTAGATGATGGGTTGATGGGTGCAGCAAACCACCAGGGCACTTGTACACCTCTGTAACAAAACTGCCCATTCTGCATACGTAACCCAGAACTTAAAGTACAATTAAAAAAAAAAGATAAAGAACATATCTATATATACTTTAGGAAAATGCTAACTTATTTGCTTTGCAATATTTTTGTGAGTACGGTGTCCTTTTATGTTTCATTCTAAGCTTGTTCCCCTGTCAGTGTATCATTAATATATTATAATGACAAAGCTTTCTATTGCAACAAAATTTTGAGATCATTCCTCCATACCATTAGATAATCATGGAATATTTAGAAAATATACTGTCATTTTTAGCAGAAACTCTTTTATTATTGTATAAATTTAAGGTGTACAACATGATGTGTTGTAATATATATATGTATATGTGTTTGTATATATATATACACACATATATGGATAGTGAAATAATGACAGTAAGTAAGCAATTTAACATATTCATCACCTTCCATAGTTACTTGTTTTTTATGTGTGTGGTAAATCCACTTAAAAATTGACTCTCAGAAATTTTTCAGTATACAATACAACTGTAGTCTTTCTGCTATGCATTAGATTGCTACACTTACTTAATTCTACCTAACTACAAGATTGTACCTTTTGACCTACATCTCATTTCCTCTCCTGTCCCCAACTCTGAGAACCACCATTCTATTCAAGACATTATGAAAAGTGAAATCAGTCAGACACAGAAAGAAAAACACTACATGATTTCACTTACATAAGGAATCTGAAAAAAAAAAAACAAGTTGAATACACAGAAATCAGCACCACTTTTTCTCTTTTCCTTTAAATAAAACGTTTCTCTAAATCTCTAAATCTCTTTTGCATCAATTTGCTTGTTTCCTCTAGGTCATTAAAGTTTTATAGTATAGGAATCCTTTCTATGTTGTTAACTTATCCTATATTTCTTCATCTCCAGGAATCATTTTCTAAACTACTCCTGCTGATTTTTTAATATTATCTATCATCTATATATTGGTTGATTGATTGATAAGTCTACCTATCTAGTTACCTACTTATCTATTACTCTAAATTGCTTTCCTAAATAAAAAGCTTGATTTTTGGAGACATGCTGTGTGTGTTATTTATCTTATTCATCATATGGTAAAGAACATCAAATGTGTATTCATATAAACATTTACTAGTAAGCAAAATTAAAGCAAGATTGGTTGACTGAGAGGTAGAGAGAGACATTAATAACAATATAAGTAAAAAGGAGGCCATAAGTTCATAAAGTCTCTAAACATATAGGTGAATGCTAGACACATATGAGACTCTAAATAACTATTTGTTAAATTAAAAATAGAAAGTATTGCAAACATACTTCAAAACATAGATGAAAACTTGTGAATTTTAGAGGAAAAAATCAAAGTGGAAAGAGGAAAACCAACGAATATTAAGAACACTGAATACAATAAATCACAGTTTTAAAAAGTCTTTCCCCTAAGAAATATTGGTCCAAATAATATTGCAGGTAAGTTGATTGCACCTGAATATGCAAATAATTCATATTTTCTACAAACTATTTCAGAAAATAGAAAAGGAGAAAAAGCCATTCAACTCAGTACACGGTATTAAAATCTTAAAAGCAAAATAACATAGTACATTATAAGAAATAGGTACATTAATTTCACTTAAAATATTTTAAAATCTCCTGAAATAACATGTTAACAAATAAATTGAGCTCTGCAGTAAGATGTTTAAAACATAATAACCAAGAATAGCTTAATTCAGGTAAACAAAGACACCCAATATGAAAACTCTGTCTGTATTAACCTATTTAAGGAAAATAAATAAAACACCTGTTTATTTAAATGGTTGTAGAAAAAAATAAAATTCAAAATCAATGCATGGTAATATAACTTAGAAAATTAAAGGTTGATGAATTCCTTGATCTGTAGCCAACAATGTAATTACTACTCCTTCTTCCTCCTCAATTTCCAGTTACTACATATTATTAGACCAGATTGTGAACTCTACATTCATTCTGTTTTATAATCTATGTATCTATTCTAGGACCTAACTATATATAAATATTTGATAAATTGAAAAGGATAGAGAAATTGATACCTTTCTTACAATTTACAATTAAATAACTTGCTAATGAAGTAAGGAAAAATAGTGAAGTTAAAAACTAAAAAGCAATTGGAGAACTTATCAGTGTTCTTTTATACAATAAAAAGACAGAATTCATAAAATAAAATAGTAATTTTATTAAATTTAATCATAGAACATACTATGACAAAGGAAACATAAAGTCTATTTTCGAAGAAAAGGTACAAAGTGAATGGAGATATTTTCAGCATATAAAATAGAGGAATAAAATTAAGAGCATATAAAAAGAAATTTCTACAAATTAGAAAAAACTAGAAACAAATAATTATCAAAGGTAATACATATGCAATTCAGAGAAGAGGAAATTGAAAATATTACAAGGTGTCAACCTCTAATTATTGAAGAAAGTCCAATTAAAACAAAAATTATTTCGCACATTTGGATTGGTTAAAATCTAAAATCTACATTCTGAGTGCAACAATGTGGTAGGAAAAGAGAAATTTGTATATAATTGCTCTCTCAAATATTAATTAGTACAATCTCTTAGTGAAGATATTTGTCATTTTCCAGTAAAGTTGATGGTATATGGCATGCATCTAATGAGTTTTATTAAAGAGATGCACAAGAAGTAGTTTCAAATATTAATTTAACATGAAGTATTGGTTAAGTGCATGAACTCCTGAGTGAGATGGTATTTGAATATTGATACCATCAATAACTAGTTCTGTGACCTTCAGGAAGCTTTGTAAACACTCTGTTTCTAATTGTTCAAGTTTCCTCATCTTTAAAATGCGTCTCTGTGTGTGGGTACATGGGCAGGCATGTGTGCATGCATACATGTGTATGTGTATGCATATATAGGTGTATACGTGTGAGTGCATACACACGCCCACATATAAACATATATATATTTCCTGGTTATATGGCTGATTTATGATGGTAGTTGTTTTTGGAGAACTACACGGGTACTAGAACTGGGAAAGAAACCCGCATGAAATTTCAACTTTATTTGTAGTTTGTTTTCATAATGAAAAAGATGGGAAGCAAATATATTATTTACATTGTGTTACTTTGTAGTCTGTAGACAGTAGTCTGAAGAAAGGCATGTACATTATATGATTTTTCAAGAATTTGTGTATAGTCTTAGTAATCACAACAATATATAAATACAGAAAAAAAGAAGAATGGGAAATGAGAAAGTGGAGACATCAATATAGACAATTGGTTTGAATAGCATCATCTTATTAAAGATGAGAAAATGTTTGAATGCCATTGAGAAGAATTTACTTGAGAAAGGAACTCATGATGCAAATAGTAAGAAGATGTAGTATCAGCAACAAGCTCTTGTGTAAGGTGTTTGTGACTGAACCTCTGGTTCTAGGTGTTGTCTTTGGGAGCTGCAGCGACCCACAGGTATAAAAGACACGACTCCAAACACTATATCCAGAGGAGCAAAGTACATTTTTAAAACAGCATTGAGACCGGGCGCGGTGGCTCACGCCTGTAATCCCAGCACTTTGGGAGGCCGAGGTGGGCGGATCACAAGGTCAGGAGATCGAGACCATCCTGGCTAACACGGTGAAAACCCGTCTCTACTAAAAACACAAAAAATTAGCCAGGCGTGGTGGCGGGCGCCTGTAGTCCCAGCTACTCTGGAGGCTGAGGCAGGAGAATGGCGGGAAACCGGGAGGCGGAGCTTGCAGTGAGCCGAGATCACGCCTGGGCGACAGAGCGAGACTCCCTCTCAAAAAAAAAAAAAAAAAAAAAAAACAGCATTGAAGGACAATGCAATTCTCTTGAATCTTCTTTCCTTCTGAAAAATATAGATGCATTTTATTTCATTACTTAGTTTTGGCATAAATAACTGTTCAATTGGTAGTAGCATCTCTTTGTATGTGTGCATGTGTACCTTTAAAAAAGAACATACTAATTCTAATGTCAAGCGAATGGAAAATTATAGAAAGTCTTTAATTATGTCATTATGTTCTGAGTACTTACTCAAAGGGTCACTTTGTGCAATTTGGAGTACTTACTCTCAAAGGGTCACTATGTGCAATTTGGAGTCCCAAGGAGGAAACACATTTACTAGCCTTTATAATATAATGGTTTAGTATCTGTGGTAGAAAACAATCCTGTCCTTTGTAGTAAACCTCAATTATTTGATTCACTTTACCTAAATGTATTGATTTGCAGATTTGATCTCAAATCCGCAATAAATGATATTTTGCTGGCTTATTTTTGTTATTCTTTTTGGTTCAGTTGATAATTTAGTCACCCACATCTTAACATTTTTCTGTGCATAAATTCCACACTTAATGTTAGTTTAGGTATTTAAAAGCCATGAGTCAAATATGTTAAAGAAATTAGAAATCTGGTGGATAAAATGATCTCTGATACAGTAAAACAAATAGAACGTTTCATCATATTTATGTATGCATGGATATATACACACGTATATACCCAAATGTTCCAAAAAGGTCTTGATTCCCTCATTCTTCTATCATAAAAGTCATTCAATACAAAAGGATTAATTTCAATTGCAAAATAAATACAGTCAAACAAGATCATATCTAAGCAGTACGTCAGCCTAAAAGAGCCCCTTGAGTACATGATAAATTAAGCATAGCTTTACCTAGCAATACTACTTTTAACCTTTCAACAACGAATGCAACAAACCTTTTCAACTGCGTGCAACAACTAGAATCAAGATTATCCTAAAGGAACCGATTACATATTCTAATGCAAAATCGTATTTCAGTATTTGTCCTTGCAACTTTGACCACTTAAGAGGAATATCATTTTTACATGTCAGTAATAGAAATATGTAAATAAGATATTCCATATTATAGTTCATAAAACAGCAAATGTAACAGTTTAAGAGAAAATGAGAAGTTATTCAGATATAATGTGATCAAGTTGAATAATTCTCATTTTTTCTAGATTTTTCAGCCTAGCTAATCAGTTTAACAAATTGTTATTCTCAACTGTATCCTGTTTTTAAATATTAATTTAACTCATATTTAAGATAAAACATATTATATTTAGGTTTACTATTTAAACTAATACACAAGACTTAGAATATCAATTCTCACCCATCCTATGCAAGTGTGTGCTTTAGAACACAGTTTGAAGAATTGCATACAGTGTGTGCAGGGTACTTATAAGTAATCAATAATAAGATTGTTTTAACCCATTTAATTAAAGTATTGTGGATAAATTAATTTGTTTTTTATTTGCATAAAATTTAAAGTCATGACTAAAATAAGTTTCACTTTGCAAGTATATCTGCACATAGAGAGGTGAACAACATTAATCATTATATATAGAAATTTATTAGATTTACAATGCTCGAGTAAAATTAGTGACATAGAGCAATTTTTATTTTTAAAGTATTTTTTTTCTTAAGAGTTCATTGTGCTAAACAAAATTATATCATTTTAAATGCAAAGATAAGCCTCTGAAAGGGTACTCTGAATCCATAATATTCCTTTCAGCCATCCTACTCTTGTTTAGGTTAACCAAATGGCATCACACTTTAAGTTACCTTTACGCAATCGTACACAATAAAAACTAAGAAGTTAATCTCATAAGAACTTGAAATGTATCAATATAACTTAGAAAGTTATATTATTTATGTTAATTAAAATACAGAATCATAATTTTAGTGGTATAAATGCATTTTCATGTTTAGACTGGACTTTTTGATGATTCTCAATTATATTTCTAAGTAATTAAAACTATAGTTTCACAATTGGAAAACTATAGTTTCACAATTAAATGTAATAGCCAACCAAATATGCAAAATGCTTCAAGGCTTGGAGAGAAGCAGAGTTAGCGTTTTAATAAGCATGTGCTTCCACTAAAACATCATTATGTGTTACTTTCATGGATTGTTTGTAACCATGCTTCTAGAAAATGTTCTAAATAAGTTGGTAAATAAATTGCTTTTTGTAGCAACACATTATCTTGCATTAGCTGTGGTTTCCTTTACCATTTAGACAATAATTTCAGCATCATTATTTTATCTTGGTACAGATGATCAACATGTGTAAACAATGTCCAGGAATAATCTGAGGGACATCCAAGGCTGTTGTTGACACAATATTATGCCAAAAAAAAATCTTTTCCCTTCTCTCCCTCTCTCTCCCTCCTCTTCCCTTTGTAGCTGTGGGTAAAGCACCATCCTCTCATTCTATCTGATCAATTAATATGTCCTAACACAATAATGCCTGCCTTGAAATACAGCACAAAAATGTTTGCAAGAATACCTTTTCCTTATTTTGAACTAGCTGTAACTTTTGGCTAAAGGCCAATTTTTTAACTGGGACAAATTTAATATTTTCTTTAAAATTGCTGAGCATGAAATAGCATTCTAAGTCACTATTGGCATTTCACGACAACTACAAACAAGCTTTCTAGCATGACAAAATAGTTTCCTACATTGAAGATCACTTTTGATCTTCTGCACAGACCTTTGCTGTAATGTTGCATAGAATTATGAAAAGGAGCTTAAAATGCCACCTTCCTTTCATCAAGTAATTGTATTATAAAAAGATGCAGAGTTCAAAAGAGATTTAGAAAATTATGCAGACTTACTTTTCTAAATGTTACATGGTCACTTATATTTTTACCAGACTGTATCTCCTTCAGATTTTTGAAAACACTTATCAATGTATGGAACCAGGAATATAATATTTTATCAATTATGATTTATATAGAGTGACATTATAATGAGATCATAGATAAATTTAATGCATATAATAGGGACTATAGAGATATGATAAAAGGTGAATACTCTGTGTGAGCTCTCTTGCCATATCTCACTCTCCTTTGAGAAAGATGAACCAATCTTATTGAACTGTCTCTGATACTAAGACACAATTTAGTATACTTTAGTGAACCTTTTTTTCTTATCATATTGTTGCTTCTGCCAGGAGCATCTTTTTCCTCTTTTCAACCTAATGCATGGTTCTTTTCATATCTTAGGTTATCTGGCAAGCATTGCCCAAGTTTCCAAGACTGCGTGAAGTGTCCATCATACATGTTCCTAGAGCATTTTCTTTGCACTTAACAATATGCTTTGTAATTTCCTGTTTGCTTGTTTCTCCTAAGCTTTATGGTTAATTTTCATTATGTTGGAATATGCCTGATGTATATCCTCAATGTTACCATTTAGTGCTTTTTCACTAAACATATGTTCAATGTATTAATAAATTATTAAAAGTCTAATTTTCAAAGTAATAAATTTTTTATGTATCTGTTTTTATTTTGGTGCATCCCTCTCTCTAATTCACTTTTATTTTTTTGCAAATGTTTAGTTCTATCCCCAAGTTAACAATATTGCTAGAGTTCAATCCTATATAGCTGATAGAATGATGGTGGTATTTATAAAAATCTAAAAGCTGAAAGACATAAGGGTTGAGACAAAATATTAGAGAAGGCTGAAATTGTCTCATAAAATTGGGTTTGTGGAACTAGCAAAGTATTTGGAAAGCAATTTCTGGGAGGTAATAGAAGTTGAAAGTCTAGAGCTTAGGAGAGAATCTAGAGCTGAGGATCTGAAATTAATCTGCATATAGTTAATATATAAACCTGGGGTTTGGATGATATGGTTGAGTAGATGACTAAGAGAAATGAGGACCGTGAACCATAACCTGAAGTGGTTCTTCCCCCCAATATTTAATGTTTCAAAACAAGAATAGGAGCAACAGAAGCAGAGAAGTAAAATTCAGAGGAAAACTGGAAATCTGGGTATACAGAAAATAAGAGAGGAATTTTTTTAAATTGTGGTAGTCTTTTTCAGTACAAAGGCTGAAGAAATACCAGGATAATAGGGCATAAAAATGGCTATAGAGTTTGGTATCAGGAGGATGTCAAAGACATTTTCTCCAGAAAATTTTGTTTTCAAACCAGTAATTCATTTTGAAATCAGGATAATAAGCAATGGCAATGTAAAAAAGTAAGGAAACATTAAAAGTTTAAATTATTCCCTAACTTCTAAATGTTTAAAATCCAGTTCAGGAAATAGGTATAATAGAGCTGAGGTTTTTTGAATCACACCATATAACAGGTATTGTATTCAGCACTTTCTTCATTGTATACTCTCATAACAAGCTTGTGAGATAAGTACTATATTAACCAGACATTGAAGAAATGTTAACCTTAGCAATATTAAATACTTCCCCCAAAGTCACAAACATAGGCATACCTCACTCTACAGTGGTTCACGTTATTGCATTTTGCTGACATTGTGCTTTTTACAAATTGAAGGTTTATGGCAATCCTGCATTGAACAAGTATATTGGCATTATTTTTACACAGCTTGGGCTCATTTTGTGTCCCTATGTCAGCATCTTTTACCAATGAAGTATTTTTTATTAAAATGTACACTTTTTAAGATATCATGTTACTGCACACTTAATAAACCACAGTATAGTGTAAACATGACTTTCATATGCACTGGGAAATAAAAAATATTTGTCTGACTCATTTTATTTCCATATTCGCTTTACTGCAGTGGTCTGGCACTGAAACTACAATATTGACACTATTGCCACAGTATGCCTGTAATGAATGTCTGGCGTTTCATTCGAAAATTTACTCAACTTCAGCTTTGTTTTTTTTTTAATCAGTTTTGATCTCAGGAACTATAACACTTGATAGATTGCAAGAAGTTTTAAAATGGAAGTTTCTTCTATATGAGAAAATTGGTTGAAGATTTATTTGACAATATGGAAAACGTTTATACGTATATTGTGAGCATTTAGGAGGTAAAAAGTCATAAATACCTATTAATTTTCTGCCTATTACAATATAATATCCTACCCAACACTGCTATGCATGTACAAAGATGACTTTTGGTAGCCAATCCGAGCAATATTGGCATTCTTCCAGACCTTTACCTGTAGAGATAATACTATATAATCTAGGTTAATGGCATTCTTTCTTATGAACTTAGACTTGGGCTAACACATTTGTTTATAATTCTGTCCTTTTAATGTTGCTGTGTAAACTTTGGTTTTCTGGATGGCCATTTTATTCCACTTGAAGAGTGGAGTAAAGAAAGATCACGTGCAGTAAAAGAAATGAAGCAGATAATCAAAGAAGAGTAAATATGTATGTGTGTACATATATTTATGTGTCTGTGCATGTGTGTGTGTTTGTGTGTGTCTGTGTATGTGCATGTGAAAGTAAAGGGTTTGGACTACATTCTCCTTCAATATTTTACCCCATTTTCTAACTATGAATGCATTCCTTGTATTTTATTACATTAAACAACATATAACTTTGAGGAAATTTCCACCACATTAGTGTCAGTGTGTTTGTTACATATAATTAAAGTCTCCTAACAACTATAATAGCAGATGTGAAATATATCACAAAGAAAAAAATTAATAATACTTGAAAATGTGTTGTCATCAGGGACTATGAGAGATGGATTATATTTTGATCTCAGAGATTTTAGTTGGATTGAAGGAGAAGTCAATAATAAAATGAACTGAAGTAGGACAATGAAATCAGTGGAAAAGGCAATAATTTTGGAATCAACATGTTATGTTTGATTTTCTAGTAGACAATGCAAGTGGAAATTTTCAGTAAAAACCTAGATATAGGGTTCGATAACTCAAGGCTCTAATTAAGACTGAAGTTAGATTGAGATGTGATTTATTGAAGAATGACATCGCATAGAGAGATAATATAAGGAGGGAAGACAAGAAAGCTGAAGAGAAAGGCTTAATTAAGACTTAATGGTTGACTTCCAATTCCAGCAAGGACAGAGTAGAGGGTGTCGTCCTCACTCTCACATCGCATACATTTATAAAACATGGTAGATGACATTAAACTTTTTTTTTGTACATTACACAACAAAGATCATAAAAGCACTATCGTTGAAATAAGAGAAACGTTTTAGGTGAGTGCCACAATTACCCTGGTTGTCCACATGGAGTCGTTTTCTAAACTTCAGTACAGAGAAATACGTTTAAAACAGAACAACATAAAAGAGAGCTGCATTCTGGTTTGCTGATGTAGCTGGAATTTGCAGGGCAGAGTACCAGAGATGAGATAACTATGAAAAAAAGAAGCTCCAAAAGTTTGAATAGGTCTTTTTGACTCTTTGGTCCATTATTAAATTGAAAATATTCAATGTGAAACTCCATAAAGTATGGGAGATAACAGATATCAGCTCGGCGAACAGCCTACTAAAAGGTTGTGAGGTATGTAAAAACTCTAGAGTCTCACGGTGATCAGAGACATTATACCTAAAATCAGCTAGAGAACAACAACCTCACTCATTATCTAGACAATCAATTGTGGTCCCAGGAAGGTCTCGTTTTAAGTGCAGTGCTTTAGACCAGCAGTGTCAGAGCTAAACATAAGCCTTCACAAGACAGAGCTAATTCACCACTAAATTAATTGTCTTCTAGAACAAATTTCAAAACTCTCTAAAGAAATAAAATTAAATCCAGACTCTCAACAATTTAGAACCTCCAATGCCAGCATAGACAAACAAAATTGAGATACGGAAAAAAGAAGATAAATGAGACATATAACCAAAAGAAAAATATAGTCAACAGAAACAAACACAATAATGAAACAAAGCACTGAAAATGTTAACAAATGTTCACTATAAGTGGAAATATGTATTATATGTATATACATATACATTTCCTATTTTTTAATTTCTTTAAATATGAAGACACTGGGAGAATGAAAGTAAAAGGGTAGAAAAGATATATTTTGAAATAGTAAGCATAAAGAAGCCAGGCTGGTTTTTTTGAATATCAGATAAAGTAGGCATCAAGACAAAGATATTTGCCATTAATAAAAACGGATATTTTATAATAAATAATTAATTTTTACAAGAAATAAAAATGCTTATTTTTCCATACTAAAGATAAAAAATTCAAAATTGGAGACAACTAAAAACAGATATAGGCACATCCACAATTACTAGTGGAGGTTTTAATACTCCTTCTTGGAAATCGGTATGGATGGTTTTTTAAAAATCACTAAGTATTCAGAAAAATTAAAATAACATAACATAATATTATTTATACTGCATTAAACGAATCAACTCTAGAATACACTTTTTTTTTCCCTCAAGAGCACATTGAAAATTCACCAAATGTGACCATATGATAGGCAATAGAAAGGCCTAACAAATTCAATGTATTGCAGTCTTAAAGAGAACAATCTTTAAAATCAATGGAATGAGATTAAAGATCAATAGCAAAATTATAAGGAATATACTCATATATTTGGAAATTAAGAAAAATATTTCTATGTAACTGAGTCAAAAAAAGAAGTAACAAAGATATTAGAAAATGTTATGTATGGAATAATTGTGAAAACACAGCAGATCAACTTCCGTTGAATGAGTCTTCCTCTTTCACCTCTCTACTCTTATCATATGGAATGATTTAATACTAAAACATTAGGTGTTGGAATAAAAGGCAGGTATCCATGATGGAGACTGTGGAGAGAGTTGCATAGCAGATCATGGCGTTGGAGCCTGAGCAAACTGAGAAAAGTGTCTGTGTCAAATGGCTGCCTCTCAGGAGGTATCACATTATGGAGATTAGGATAGTGTCTGATTGGTCAAGTAGGTCCAACGGACTAGCCCACAAGATGACATCTTGGTGAAAGCTGTCAGAACAAGTAAGGTAACATTTACTCCCCATAACAACTGTTGAATTATTTTCTTCATTTTGTGGTGAAGAAGACAGAAACTGAAATATTAAATAGCTTCTGCCAGGTAATGCAATTAGTAAATAGGCCATATTGTGGATATATAATAAGTATGCATTAACAATACATTAACATTAGCAGAAAGCATCTGAACTATCGTTGCTTGTAAAATGAGGAAATTGCTTCCCCTGTGTTAACATCATAAAAGAAAATTTTAACAAAAGTTCAGAAAGTATGCATATTTCATTGGCTAGAATTTCTTTTAAAATGTTTTTAAAAAGGAAAAGCTAGGCAGGAGATTATTAAAGTATAATATGGTAAGTCATCTAAATAAATCCATAGCACTAAAACAATGTGTTGGAAGAAATTACAGGAAACCTGTTATTTCCAAGCTTTTGTCAGTTTTTTTTTCTGTTTCTACAGGTAGAGACTAAAGGTAAATTAGTCTTTTGTTTAGTACAATGCATTAATCACCTTTTGGTTATTAAAGGAAAGGCATTGTCTGTAATAAAACGTTTAAGATAAAAGGGACCTGGGCTGCTTTGCATAAAAACGTAAAAAGGTATTTTTGGTGGGCACAAGATTATCAGACTTACACATGATAGTTGGATTCTAGGTAGTCCAGAAAGTGATGTTGGATAAGGAATCAGTCCTGCAACACAAGAAAGAAACAGAAAGTACAAGCTGTTAAAGAAAACCAAAACGAATACTAAGGTTGTTTAATCTAATAGTCTAATTTTAAGAATCTAATACTACTTTTCTATTTTTTAAATATATATGCCACTTTTACCTCCTTTTAAGGCACACTGTACCTCTTCCTCACCATGACCAATGTCCTCTATCTTCCTTATCTCCTCCCATATCTATTAAACCTTTAGTTAAACAAAATCCTTACTTACGTTAAATAAAATGCATGGGAGACCATTGATTTGGACTGAACTCCAGTACTACGCCCCAACAGACCAAACTAAAATAGAATCCCTTATGCTAGGTGCCTCATAATCAAACTGAAACTTTAAAGAGGCAGGTAAATTTACAAACAGACCAGTTTTTTGTTTTTTGTTTTTTTTTCTGAAAACAGGAAATCCACCTCGACCAATTGGAAAGGGCCCAGTCAACCTGACTCACTGTAGCAAAGAAGTCCCCTCTACTTTAACTCCTACAACAAAAGCAACTGACTGTTCATCAACCTGACTCTTAAAAAAAATTACGTTTTCTCATTTTCACCTTGCAAAAGCCACCTGTTTTGCCAAGCCCAAGGGAGCACTCATAATATTTTATAGAATGAAATGCTGCCAAATTCTAGAATCACAAATAAAAGCCAATTAGATTTTTAAACTAAATTTGTTGTAATATTTTTCTTTTAACACTTGTATTTGTCTTTCTTAGTAGAGCCTTGGGAAATAAAAAGATAATTGTGTCCTTCCTGGGAGCAAAGAACAGCAGCAGACTGGAGGATGATATACAGATACAGATTACTCCAATTTGAACCATGAACATACTTTAGTTTTTTAAGTAGGCAATATATTCCTAAAGCTTAGAAATCTGAGAACATAAAAAGATATAATAAAAATATGCCTCCCGATCCTGATTGCTATTGCCATGCTACCATGCATGAGAAAATACTTTTACATTTCTAGTGTATCAGCAGTTTTCATGCATGTTTAATTAAATGCAAACATATTTTTCTACTTTCCTTCTATTAAAAAAGTTACCATGCACACTGTTCTACCCTGCACAGTTTTCATGCATGTTTAAATAAATGCAGACATATTTTTCTACTTTCCTTCCATTAAAAAAATTACCATGCACACTGTTCTACCCTATACATTTTTACTGTAAAGATGCATCTTAGAGAGCATTCCATAACAGTATAAAAATCTTCCTCAGCTGCATCGTATTTGTATATGGAGGTATTGTTTAAATCTTAATTAATATTTAGACTATCTATAATCATTAGCTTTAAAATCACTAATGTAAAATACTACTATAAACATATTTCTCTATATATCTGCAAATATGCCATTTGAATAAAGACCCAGAGTGGAGTTGGTAGGTCAAAGTTTATATGAAATATTGCTACAATGCTTCCCATAGGATTTGCACTAGATTATAACATCTATGAGCAAAACTGAGAGTTGCTCCTTCTCCACAGCTTTGCAAGAGAAAGTGTTTACAAAGGTACTCACACTTACCAACCAGACAGATGAAAATGTGCTTTTTTATGAGTGAGGTTAAGCATCTTTTCATGCATTTAAATGATCATATTTGATTTATTTTTCCTTTTAAATAAATTCTTTGTTTATATATGATTTATTTTTCCTTTTAAATAAATTGTTTATATACATTCTCATTTTTTGTTGAGTTTTGGTTTTGGGGATTCTTTACATATTTGGAAGTATGGCTCTTAATCTGAAGTGGGAGATACAATATTAATTTCCTGGTTTGTCTTTTATATTCTGACTGATTAAGGGGCATGTGTAACTGTGAATGTGTGTGTACTTGCATGCATATATGTTTTAATATAGGAAGTTTCTTTTTAACAAGTCAATTCACCAATCTGTTATTACATTATATTCAATTTTGTATTTAAATAATAATTAAAAATTATTTTCTTTATTCATTTCTTCAAAGAAACGTCCCAATCTTTTACGTATTTTTGGATAGTTTTGTTTTTAAATTTAAATCTTTCAACACATTTGCAATTTATCATGGCATGTGGTATTGAATATATAATGATCATGTTCATATAGAGAGAGCAGCTAAAGCTGGTCTTAAACTCCTGGCCTGAAGCAATCCTCCAATCTCAGCCTTCGTCACTGGGATTACAGAAGTGACCCACTGTGCCTGCCTGAAACTGTACATTCTAAATAGGTCAATTGAATAGCATGTCAGTTATATCTCAGTAAAGGTGATAATAAAAAGATATTGTATTCTTATTGTATTTCCGTATCTTCTTTTGTTGTTAATTTTTGCTGTTTTATGTGATTCATGCATGACTAATATAGTTATGTGATATGTTTGGATTTTATTTTTCAATTTATTTAACATTATATTTTTCCTATTTTAATATTAAAAAAACTTCAGTGTGACAAATTTTCTTTAAAATTTTGTGTATAGTTGTTTCATATTAGAAAAATTTCCATTTTCTACTATTTATCTTTTATAAAAATTACTTTATATATAAATATCCTTACTAATCTATTTATTTATATAATATCTATTATTTTCTTCACAAAAGTAAGACAACCAAAGAGAAAATGGAAAAAAACAGTAATGTGTTCCTCTTCTTCTCACAGCTAAATCCTCTATCAAATAAGAATAGTTAACTCTATTAATTTTTCAATTCATTTATACTATCAAAATTTTTGCTAGATTTTTTTTAGCTAAAAAGAATATTCCTGTAGACGTCTATTATATAGAAGTATATAATCAGCATTTTTTTAATCTTTAAACTTCATTAAAGTGTAAGCTACTGTTTTTCTTATGGGTATTATTTTTATATTGTAGGTCTGAAATATTTAGGCTGTCTTCTTGCATTCTACACCTCACATTTGTTGTTTTTTTTTCTTAATTCTATGGTTATACATTCAATATTGTATATCAATCATTTATTATAATTTTCTCAAAGCTTCTAATTTTGTTAAAGTTTATCTTTTAGTAATTTCTATAAAAGGGCCCACAGACATTATTTTCTGAGTTTTTCTTTTTAAAAACTCTTTTATATAACTTTTAATAATTAAAGTTTAATATGACTGTGTAAAATATTGTCCAGTAGATTTTATTTCCTTGAAATTTTATGACAGCGTTTCCAGTATTCTGAAGCTCAATGTTTTGCATGATGGTTTTCCTTTCCCCCATTTTTTTCTTTGTATTTAAATCCTATTAATTTTGTAAAAATATTTCACAGTTTAGATAAATCTTAATCCTTCTTTCATTTTACTTAATCATAAATCAGATATTTACTATCATCAGCATTTCAGCCTCGTAGGTTCTAGAAAGGTTTTTGCATTACATCTTCAAATATTTTCTTTGATTTGATATTCTTCTTTTGGATCTTGAATTTTATTAACTCCTTTTTAGCTTCCATTTCATTTTGCTTGTATTACTTGTTCTATCCTTGCTCCTGCTACATGCTTTGTTTTCTACCGTTGCTAATTTCCCCCAATGACTTTCTAAAATTGTCTTTATTTTCATGATTTTTTTCCTACTACGTTCCTGAATCTTCCAGTTAACGACACATCTCGTTTTATTTTTTTTGTATTTCTTCCTGTACTCTTCGATTTCCACCATGTGTCCTTCCTACATAGAAGTAAAACCTCATTCAGTATGTGAGGCACGATTTCTTACTAAACCTGTGCAAATATTTTTCTGATAAATATTTTCACCAGTTTTTAAATTTGCCTTTATTTTCAACATGATTTATTATCCTTATTATTAATTTTCTACCAGTTCTGTGTTATTTTTGTGCCCTTCAAATGGAGTGAGAGTTCATGGTCAAGTATTTTTAGAAGGATCTTTGGAGTGAGGAGACATGGTTGAACTTTAGATATTCTCCATCTATACTTTAACAGAGATAGACTTGCTTCTGCAAACAGTGTTTTCCTGTTGGTTTGTTTGTGTAGACTTAGCTACCTCTGCTTCTTTGATTGAAAATGATTCCAGAGGACTTCAATCATCAACCTTCTCAACCTTTGTTCCAGAAAGTGTTTTTGCAGATGAAAGCTAGTTTTGTACTTCATGATAGTCCTTGCTCCTTTTCACAAGTATTTTGGTTGTTCCTTTCTGGGAACGTTTATGGCTGATCTTTCTTGATATTGGCTTTTTTTTCTCTCATCTTTCTCCATAGCTTCTGCACAATTTCAGTTCAAAAGTAATTCTGTCCAATTTGGTTTTGCCAAAGCTACCTGAAATATGAAATCTAAATTATATTTGTCAACTTGCTGTGCTGAATATATTATTTGTGTTTTCTTACCCAACCATTTTAAATTTGTATAATTTCTAACAAGTGGGGAAAGATGATAGCTTGTGCAGTTATGTTTGTTCATTTGTATAAAGACCTGGATAAAGATGTTTAATTCTCTCCGCCTACAATCCAAATAAAATATTGGAAAGATTTCTTGAGTCATTCCTATTGAATGAGATGTTTTCTGTTACTATTTTTCTGTGATGTTAATTAAAAGTGACCACAGAATGCTACATGACTTAAGTATGCTTAGGTTGAAGAAAATTGGCTAACCACAACAGATGCTATATGGTACGCAAAAAGGTTAAAAGGTGGATTCTGAAACCTCCAGATTTATCATCTATGTGTTTACTGCTAAGAAAATTTTAGAACAGCTAATATAATAGGTTACGTGGTAACATTTGGAAGGAAAATGATAACATTAAGAAGCTGAATAGCACATCTAAGTTCACAAAATGTCAACATGACTTTATTTTGTTTACATGTTAATTAGATTAAGCATTTCATAATAGTATTTTATTCTAAGGGGACATGTGATAGAAAATTTATGAGTAGTAGTTGTTGATCAAATTATTGTATCTAGTGTTAATACATTGATTGTTATGAACCTGCAGAGAGGATCATGAGTTTGTGGCACTGGATTTCATTATTGATTTTATACCATTTAGGATCTTTGTTAATGACTTGGCAGAATATAAAAAAAGTGTGGTTACTTAATTTACAGTGAATAAAAGATCCACTATAGTAGTTAACATGTTGTTTGCTAAAATTAGAATTTCAATTTATTTTTCAGTTATGAAAAGACAACTCATGCAAGATGAGTGTTAAAAAGTACACATAGGTTATAACATTTAAGTTTAAAATTTATTTAAATTATTAACAAACTGAAGAACAGTGTGGAAACAGACTTGTATCGCATATGCCTGCGACTCCTACTTGAGCCTAAGCTCACTACCGAATGACATGATTTAAGAATTATTAATACAAAATTCTGCTGGATTTTAGTGAATCCAAATCTTGGTGCATTTCCCATGAGTGCAGGAAGTAGGAATCTGTAGGTGGGCTATTGGCTGAGTGGGAATAATCCCAGTATAAATGTGATTTATTAGATTATATCTATGGCAGTATTTAATAACTAACAAGTAAAAGATATGTACTCATTAAGAGAGAAAGCATATGCTCTGCATCCAGGGGCTGGAACTCAGCCTTGCTGCTTCACTGCTGCATGACACTAGAATATTTTGGGGATTTTGTCACTGAGATCCCCATATCCAAATTAAACTAATAATAGTACTAATCTCAAGGGATTGCTGTGGGAATTAAGCTAAACTGAATAATACAAAAAAATTAGGCTATTCCTTTGCAGTTAATATATGTTTAATAAATGTACATTGTATTAATATCATGGTGTATCTTATTTATGAAACTTGAAATCATGAAGATTAAATATAAAGCTAACTGGTTTGGTGAGAAATCTATAAATATCCTCACATGGTAATCAAATATTATTAATCTTGGAAGCCTAATTTTATGTTTTGTGTTAAATTTATCAAATAATTTTAATAACGGTGACAAGAGTAATAACATAAGTTCCTATATTCTGAAAAGTGGAAATTATAAAACAAACTTTCAGTGGAATGAAAGCCATATAAAATCCTGTTATCGTTGAAGAGGTTAACTTTTCCCACTTACCTTACCACGGAATGACATTTCAGTCACATTACATAGCAACTAAATATGTAGATAATTTGTAACAGTATTTATAAATCAGAACCCTTCCTTTATATATGCTATTAATAAAAACGTGGCAAAAAATTGTTTATTAAATTGTGTACACATAGAAATCTGACTTCCTCCCATCTCCATTTACCTCATTAATTCACCTGTGAACTGTGGTTTCCTTCAGTGTTTTCTTACATTAATAATTTGGTAACAGGAGAAAATGGAAGTTATAATTGTGTGTGTTAGGGAAATCAGTTTTGGTGCAAGTTATTTTTATGCTCACTTAAGCTGTTTAATTTTCCATTGGAATATTATATTTTATGCCCCAAAGGAATTCCAATTTCTTGCTATTTTTAGTGGAATGTTTGATGTATATATCCTGTGTTTACATAATGTGTAACTAATTTTTGCATCTACAGTCACCATTTTTCTTCCTACTATATAAGTGCATTTGAAATTCTCCATTAAATAAAATTAAAAGTTATTTACATTTTCATTTAAAGAATGTATTGTAGAGCAACATCTTATTTGCTAAAGTATATTTTGTTCTAAAAGGCTTTAAGTAGAATTTGATGTAATATTTTTACACAACTCACCAACAAAAATATTTATTTGTATAGCAAGATTTTGCCAAGGTCTAGACAATTTTTTTTAATAAATAGATGGGGCTTTAATTGTTGTTCTCTTAATTCATGCTAATACAGCATCATTTGCTATTTTGGTGTCAGATATGTCTCTGACAGATGGAACATCGGTGTGGCTAATGTTGGGTAATATGAGCATTGCAAGCATGACACTAGTGTGTTAGCTATGTCACTGGTGTTTGAAACTGTAGAAGTCATCATGGCAGGACCAGAGGTGCTATGATAACTCCCCACATATCTACGGCTATGACTGACTAGGCACATAACTGTCAGTTATATCATTATTCAAAAGAGAGGTATATTCAAAACTTTAAAACTGGACTCTCTATATTTCTATTTCAACCCAGCTCTGAATTTTCTGAAGTCCAAATGCTTTATTCTGTTTGTCTTGGTGTTCATGTAGCATTTAAGATAAGAGAACATCTGCTAACTTTGGCTCGGAATGCTACATGCACTTATTCTTAGTCATTCTACTCTTGAAACAATTTTCGACTAACAACAAAAAAAAGTTTTTCAGGATGCTGCAGGCCTAGTGAGTCATTTCCTATAATTCAATGTGTCTGAAATATTTTTTAAAATGATTTTTAGCGGGCTTTTCAGAGTTACAATTGCAGACTGTTTCCTCCATGAAATCTCTGAACAAAATGGCCCTAGGCATCCTCCAAGAACAAGCTGGTCTTTGGCATAAGCCATTTGACATTCATCCTGCTTGCTGAAACTTGATTCATCTGGACTGTGACATCTCACTGAATTTAGCCAGAAGCTAGAAAAATTGCCTTCTCGCATTTTTTTATGCACCTCCTGGACCTGGATATAGGTTTCTTTACATTCTGACCTTCACTACAGAGGTCTTGTAGACTTTCTCTATTCCTGAGGCATGTAAGAGTCACCTAACATTGTGCTGTTGAATTTGCTTTGTGCTTCAGTAATTTTGATTCCAGCTGACACATATAGAAATACAATAAGTAATAGATGCTTTATCCTGTTAATGTGTTCATTCTCTATCTGTGAGATTAAAACTTCAGATTATGAAGGATATGGCACTTAAAGTTGAGAAACAAAACAAATGCTACTCCAGCTACCATGTTGAAAATACTGAATTCTACAA
This sequence comes from Homo sapiens, assembly GCF_000001405.40. Taxonomy (NCBI): domain Eukaryota; kingdom Metazoa; phylum Chordata; class Mammalia; order Primates; family Hominidae; genus Homo; species Homo sapiens. The sequence continues at coordinate 83,223,730 of NC_000003.12, read as the reverse complement.
CCTGTAGTGAATGGAAAACAAATGTGGTTTCAATGTATTAAAGGGAAAGTTTCTTTTCAAATAATGCTAATTTGTTAGCAGTTTCTTCAATTTCAATCAATGTGCTAAAAAATCCAAAAGAAAATAGAAAATAGAAAATACACATTTTACGACTAGTATTCCTGTGAAATTGTATTTTTATTTAATGAATGAGAGTTAGATAAAATATAATGATAATTAAATTAACATTAATAAATCACTGTTTTAAATACTTGAGAAATTTTCTCTACTTATAAAAAGTTAAAAATGTTCAGAATTATGAGATTTGTATTCCTTAAATCTGTTGCCCTTCATGACATATCATTTTGAAAATATATTATGAAAATATGTGGTTGTATATTATTACATTGCATTTTAGTAATTTGCATACTTTTTCTATAGGTTACTAGAAATGCCAAAATTAAAATTTTATTAGCAAATATTATTTATATCAACCCTTACTTTAAAGGCATGATAATCTATTTTGTTCAAACTAAATTTTCTGGAAAAGCATGCCTAAGAATTGTTATTTTTGGTAAACATTTGCTTGAAACAGCACAGTATCTGATTTGAGATAGGTGAAGCAGCTGTTTTAGCTTCACAGAAAATGTTGCCAGAGAGAAATTGTGTCCCTAAGGTGTGGGCTGAGTTACAGCTTTAAAAAATTAAATTAGCCCAGCACACGTTTGGCTCCCCTGCTGCTTGGCTTCTTTGCACCGTAGCCCTCCACCATGGCTTCCTATTTGTTTGGCCCAAACTCTTTCTGTAGTTTATTGACAGTAGCATGATAAATCACAGTTTCCTCTGGGCACCATACCTGCTCACATGGTCCTAGTTCCTGTAAGGGGGCCAATATTCATGCCTTCTCATGCAGGCTTGTGAAATTGCTCTTTCAAAAGCTTAGAAATTGATGTTCCATGAAACAAACTATTGTTAACCTAAGCAGTAACTCTTCAGGAGTTGTGACTCTTCCCTGAGAAATGATAACAGTCCTGAATCTGAGGTAGCATCCTCTAGTGATAAATATTTGATGCTTGGGTGAGATGATAAATTTATCAAATGGGGGTAAAAAGAGCCTTTCTGATTTCTAATTTTAAATTTTTTTATTTGAGTATTCATTTCTTAGGCTTAGATACGAATTCTTCAATGATAATAGAAAATGTCCTTTGTATCTAAAACAATTTAATTAGATACCATTTTATTTTCATTTGGGCCACAACTTTACCTCATTTATAAAGAAAATAAGATAGTATCATATTATTTGAATTAAATGGCCTTATTATTTATATACCTCAGGCTACAGTCTAATTAAATTTTAACTATACTATGTATTTTGAATTTATGGGTAACTGAAAATTCTCTATTATATGAAATCCCAATATCATCATAGAATGAAATTAAAGTTACTATCACTATTTGAAGAAGAGTGTCATCAAATGATAATGCAATACTAATCTAAAATTGATACATGGCAGTAGGAGAACATGAATAATTGGATGTCTATTGGCATTAGTGAAAAACCTGTGTTGCCGTTGTTCTAATTGGTAAGTGAAAAAATATCTTACCTTTTAATATAAAAATCATTATTTGTTCTATATTAAAGAAAAAGAAAACATCATATGTATTTAATGTCTTATTTGTTGCTTAGATAAAGAGAACCTGCCTTTCACTTCCCAAAATATTGCTGAAGAACTGGAAAAATAACTGTCAGGTACTATGCTTAATATCTAGGTGATAAAATAATATGTACACAAAACTCCTGTGACGAGAGTTTATTTATATAACAAACCTGCACATGTACCCCTGCACCTAAAATGAAAGTTAACAAAAAAAGAATTGGATGCTCAAATTAATGAGCTGCATTATTTCAAAATAATACATTTTCTACTAGGTTGTGCTACATTCATTGATTCAACCACTTTTTTTAAAGTAAAGATAACAGAGAGTGTTACATTCCATAGTGACATAAACATGATAACCATATTAAAGTAAACTGAAATTTTCACAAATACTTTTAAAAGACAAGAAGTCACATGAACTGAGTGGGGTTCATGGCTGCCTTTCAATACAAGTCTGTGCCTTCAGGTTGTACCCAGGGCTAATGATGTTATCCAAAGGAAAACATCTGTAGACTGCACTTTTTGCTATTTCTTATGTAGTTTGAATTGTTTTTTTTAGTGCTGTCACTAACGTAGTAAATCAATGCTACATGACACTTTTCCAGGGCTATATAACATAACTCTTCCTATTTTGTCCAGATTCAGAAGGAGCTTACAGTAGATGAATCCCTTGCAACTTGATTCATTTCTACTATTGTTTTCCAAAAGTCTAGAATAGGATGGCAGCATTTCAAATTATTGAACACTTAAAGAATAATCTGCTTGGATTTTTTTCATTCACCTTAAAATTGGATACTAAACAGACATTACTGATTTTGGCATTATAAAGGATTTATGAAAGCAAAGTTAAATATTTGTTTTCTTTCTAATATTTTGATCCTGTTGTCTGTTTGAAAACTAATGATAATTTTCTGCCCTGTGCATGAATATGGACCATAATAATATAATTGGGTATCTGCTATCAAATTTATCTTCTCCAAAGAAAGCCACTTCAAATCAAAGAAACTTCTTTAGCCCCTATTATTTTTATTTTACAGTGCTAGAGAGAATTCTAAGCCACATTGCTTAGTAGCCTTTATGTTTTTGTTTTTCTAAATTTTAATGATGTCTTACATTTATGATGTAATTAACTTACATAAAAATGTAGATATTCTAAGAATTTTAGTTTTGGGAAGGCTTTTCTAAATATAATTTAAGTATTAAAGGACTAATATAAGAGTAACAACCAGGATTAGGAATTTATTTCAGGGTTCTGTCTGTACTATGTTTATTGATTATACCACTTAGAGTGATATTTTATTTTGAAAAACCTGTAGCAGATGATAGCATAACACAGTAGTTCTGTTTCTAAATATTTTGTGCAAATATTAAAACAATAGACTGATTTTTTTGGATAGTCTCTTAGAGTAACATAAATTCAAGGGTTTTGCCTCACCCCGAGGAAAGCTTTTTGATTAAAAGATGAGATTGAAGCATAATGTTGCTGACATTTATTAAATGCTCAGAATGTGTCAATCTCTGGGTTACGTGTTCCAAATATCAACTTTCAAAATAACACCACAAAGAAGTATTATTTTCACTAGGCAAGTGAGAAAATAGTGGTCCAGAAAATAAGTCACTTGCCCAGGCTGTGTTATAAAGCTAATAAATGGGAACAACTAGAATTCAAACAGTGATATTTATGCTATTAAATTGCAAGTTATTTCCATTTTCCCATATATTGGTGGAAACAGATTTTCAAGTCACTTTTGTCATTGATTTTATTTCTATTTTTTATTTTTATTTATAATTGTTGTTGCTTATGCTCAGAAATGAAATTAGTGACATGCATCTTCATGTATATTATTCAAAGAAAGTCTCAGAAATACACTAACAGGAATATAACTTATTGATAAGCTGAATTCTGTTTTACTTTTCTCCAACAGTCTATGCATTAGAAAAGAAAATAATTCACTAAAATAATTAAGCATAAAATCATTAAGATTCAACAACAACAACAAAAAGCTTTAGATGACAGAGAAGCAATTTCTCCTTTGTTATTACTTTAATATATCTCATTTGGATCATACAGATAACCTAAAAAACAAATTAATGTAATGATTAGCAGCAGGGCATCTGGAACTAAATTGCTTAGGTTCAAATCTCAGCTCTGTTACTTAGTTGCTCATGTTGGACATGTAGCTTAAACTTTCTGTACCTCACTTCCCTCATTTTAAAAATGGGGACCGGGCACAGTGACTCACGCTTGCAATCCTAGCATCTTGGGAGGCCGAGGTGGGAGGACTGCCAGAGTTCAGGAGTTTGAGACCAGCCTGGGCAACATGGCAAAACCCCATCTCTACTAAAAAATACAAAAAAATTAGCCAGGCATGGTGGCACCCCTGAAGCCCAGATCCTCAGGAGGCTGAGGCACGAAAATTGCTTGAACCTGGTTTTCAGTGAGCTGAGATCACATCACTTCACTCCAGCCTAGGTGACAGAGCAAGACTCTGTCTCCAAAAAAAAAAAAGGGGGGAGGGGGTGGTAACTGAAATTTCTGTCATATGTGTGTTGTTGTTTTTTTAGTACTAAATACCTTTACAGAGTTTGTGTATGTAAAACCCTTTTCATGGTACCTAACACAATAAGGAATAGCTATCATTAATTTTCAGGTCAATTTATTTAACTGAAATGATTATGTATACTGCATCAATGCATGAATATTGGTTTGTATTGGTGAAATATAACTTAAGAAATGAAATGATAAAAAATAGTTATATTTGATTTTATTTTAAAGCATAAAATAGTCAAAATGTTATATTAAACTATATTGTGTAATTTTAATTATATATTAAAACTATATTCTGTAGAATATAGTTTAATATAGAAACTAAGTTTCCTCCGTAGTTGGAAAAATTTAGTTTTCATATATAACTGATGGCAGCAGCAGCCCATCTGGAGCAGCAGCTACAAAAGCAGCTACAAAGCAGCTACAAAGACTCTGGCTACAGCTGGGGAGGTGCCGCCGCGTCTCTGCGGCACCTCGGTGCCGGAGAGGGAACAGGCAGGAGCCCCACCCTCTACCAGGTTGGTTAGCCAGGAGCCCCACCCTCCAGGACACAGCTGCAGCCAGCCAGCCATGGCTCCAGACCAGGGAGTCCCTGTGCTCTCAGGGTCCTGGGAAGCCTCCCTGCCCTGTAGGCTCAGAAGTGCCTGCTCCTACTCCCTGGAGTTCCCCACTCCTGAAGCCTGCTTGAGGCAGAGCAAAGTTGTGACTGAGCCTGGGTGCTGTTGCAACCTTGTTTGGTGTGTGTGCACTAGGAGTGGCAGTGACATGCCAGCCCCCTGCCGCCTTGGCCCATTCCAGACTTGGGGCACTCACGAGCATGGGAGGGAGGCCAAGGGGCTGCTGAGGGTGGCCCAGCAGGGGCCTGCAGGCGATCCTCATCAGGAACAGCCTGGACATTGTGGATGGCATGTCATGGCAGCAGGACGCAGGCAGGCTCCTGGGCGGAAAGGGGCGGGTGCCTGGTGAAACCTCAACTTCAAGCCAGGGATGGCCTGAGGCCTGGGGGCCGGGCTGCCAGTTCTGTCTAGAGCCCAGGTCAGGAGTGACAAGGCCCTTTCTCCAGACCTGCCCATGGCCACCCATGGACCAATCTGCATGCACTTCCTCTCTTCTCAGCCCCTAAAAGCCCTGGACACTGTCAGCCTCGGAGAGCCCTGGGGACTGCCAGCTGTGGGAAGAAGCTACCCACTTCAGGTCTTCCTGACTTGTTGGGCCGACCTGCCTATGGAAAGGGGCTACCCACTGCAGGTCTCCTGATAGCTGTTCTGTTACTCAGTGAAGCTTCTCTCTGCCTTACTCACTTTCCAGTTGTCCACGTACTTCATTCTTCCTGGATGTAGGACAAGAACTCTGGACCTGGCAAATGGCGGTGAGAGGTGTCAGCGTGCTGGCAGTCCTCACAGCCCTCGCTCGCTCTCGGCGCCTCCTCTGCCTGGGCTCCCACTTTGGCGGCACTTGAGGAGCCCTTCAGCCTGCCGCTGCACTGTGGGAGCCACTTCCTGGGCTGGCCGAGGCCGGAGCCGGCTCCCTCAGCTTGCAGGGAGGTGTGAAGGGAGAGGCGCGAGCCGGAACCGGGGCTGCGCGCGGCGCTTCCGGGCCAGCTGGAGTTCCGGGTGGGCGTGGGCCTGGCTGGCCCCGCACTCGGAGCAGCCGGCCGGCCCTGCCGGCCCCGGGCAATGAGGGGCTTCGCACCCGGGCCAGCAGCTGCGGAGGGTGTACTGGGTCCCCCAGCAGTGCCGGCCCACCGGCGCTGCGCTCAATTTCTCGCCGGGCCTTAGCTGCCTTCCCGCGGGAAAGGGCTCAGGACCTGCAGTCCGCCATGCCTGAGCCGCCCACCTTCTCCGTAAATCCTGCTGCTGCTCACTCTGGGTGCACACTGCCTTTATGAGCTGTAACACCGCGAAGGTCTGCAGTTTCACTCCTGAGCCCGCGAGACCACGAATCCACCAGAAGGAAGAAACTCGGAACACATCCGAACATCAGGAGGAACAAACTCCAGACGCGGCACCTTAAGAGCTGTAACACTCACCGCGAGGGTCCGCGGCTTCATTCTTGAAGTCAGTGAGACCAAGAACCCACCATTTCCGGACACAGCGGGACTAAAAGAGCTGTAACCACAAACAGGGCTGAAACACACGCCCCTGATTGTCACTTTGCATGTGAGGAGAAGGAGAGAAGAGCTGCGGCTTTTTGGGGAGCCCAGATCTCGTGGCTCCCTGAGCCAGGTTTGTGACTCCCTCTTTGGGGCTCTGTGGTTCCTGGCATCACTAAACTTCCAGGCATCACCGTGCTCCCCTTGTCCAGACACGGTACCCGCAGCCTGCATGCTGTACATCTGGTCCAGCCTCAGTCTTTCACGGAGCTGGCACCTCTGCTGGCTCCTGGAGCTACCCACCCGCCACAGCAGCTGGCGAGCCTGGCTGTGTGCAGCGGATGGACCCAGCACTTGCTTGCCCACGCATTTTTCACCACTTCGTGCCTGGCTTGCTTTTGGCAGGTGTGGGATCCCGGCCAGTAGCAAAAGCCAAGTGCAGCCTGCCAGACCCAGTAGGCAGAACAAGCCCAGCAGGCCAGAGCAAAAACTTGGGCGAAGGTACCACCAGCCACAGAGGTTTCCAGCTGGTGAAGTAACACCCCAAAGATCTTGTGATATAACTGGATGTATTCTCAGAAATACGGAACATATTTATTCAGATATGGCTAAGCAAACCGGGAAACAAAACAAGAACATGATTAAAACATTTTATTCTCAAAATTCTGAGGTCTCAGCAGACAACATGCATACTTGAAACTATCATGGTTCAAATAAATACACAAATAAATAAATCATTATGGTGTCTGACAATACTCTCAACTGTTGAAACTACGGGATTTAAATGCAACATATTAAGAAAATGCTTTATTTTTCTAATATCTCAACCTATTGAAGTATCTGGAACACTTTAAAGTAATATTTCTTAGTGCAAATGTATTCATTTACGTATACAGTTGTCTCTTGTAGGATTTACATGCGTCCCATCCTCTTGAGGACACTAAAGGGATCACATCAGCGAAGTAACAGTGCTCTGTAATCTCTTGGTTGTGCTCTGAATGTGCACTTTGCTTTTCATTCCAAATATCAGCCCCTCTCTGGAGGGGTATAGGTACCTCATTTTCTCCATTCTCACGTATTTTTTACTGTAAACGCCCAGGTTTCAGTCTTTTTCAAACAGATTATCACCTCTCATTACCCTTGTTGGTTACAATCAACCACAGATGTCCTGGTTATTTAACCTTTTTGTTAAAATATTCCTGTCATAATATTTGGTAATGTTTATATTCATGTTGACAACGAGAGGATATCAAAGCCTCTGACTTCCTTAATCTTTTCAGGGAGTTTTCCTCTACACTACCTCAGCAGTGATATTATTACTAAGAATTTTACCCATAGCTGATTCTCAGTTTCAAGCACCCAACATTCCTAGTAACTACTTTCCCATTTCTCTCCCAAAAGTACCCTGGCTACATTTTTTTAACTTAATAGATGTGAAAATTTATTGATTCTAACCAACATTGGTATTTTCTTTACCTGCCTCACATGCTCAATTTCCTTTCTTTCTCCAAAATACATGCCTGGAAAAATGTCACCTTTATTAAATTGATCGTTCTACTGTTTCATTGGCTGAATCTGTGCCACTAAATGGGGATGGAGAAAAACAAACTGAACTAAATTAAATGGTCTTTAAATTTATTACCCACCAGTGACTGCTGGGCCCTTACTGCTGTCTGATAATCCTACCATATTTTCTCATTTTTCTCAAAACCTTGCTTAACTTACATTAGCTCTACTAATGATTTTATTGGTTCTTTTGGATTCTATGTAGACAATAATCCATCTGTAAATAAATTCCATTTTATTTTATTCATTTCTATACAAATTTTATTCTCTTTGGTTACTACTGAGGACTTCTAGTCCATTGTTGTATAGCAGTAGTGTGAGAGGACATCCTTGCTTTGCTCCTGATCTTAATATCCCATATTTTATTTAATACACTACAATTATCTTTCTTTCATACAATTCCACTGAAACTGCTAATGAAGATAAGCCATGAAACACATACTGCTTGTATGTTTTCAGACTTTATTCTTTTTAGAGCAGTTTTAGGATCACCTCAAAATCAACGGGAAGGTACAAAGGTATTCCATATAACCCCTTCCCCTACACATGCATAGCCTCACCAATTATCCATATCCCCCCACCAGAGTGGTGCATTTGTTATAATTGATGAGCCAATACTGACACATCATAATCACCCAAAGTCTGTGGTTTACTTAAGGGTTCAATCTCAGTGCTGTACAATCTACGGGTTTAGACAAATGCATAATCGTATCTATTCGTAATTACAGTATTTCCACTGTCCTAAAATTTCTCTGTGCTCTGCCTGCTCATCATTCTCCTACCAACTCCTAGTGACAAATTACTGAAACTTGTACTATATATATGGCTTTGTCTTTTTCATAATGTTATGTAGTTGGAATCATACAGTAGGTAGCCTTTTCAGATTAGCTTCTTTCACTAAGTAATATACATTTAAGGTCTCTCCATGTTTTTTTCACCACTTGATAGCTTATTATTTTAAGCAATGAGCAATATTATCTGAATGTACCAGTTTATTTATTTAAATGGTTAGTACTCAGATCTTTTGCCTGACCTATTTGGAACACTTGAATCCATTAATGACTTCTTTCTTTGGCTCTGCAATATTAAATACTGCTAAATTTTATTATCTATTTATGAGCTTTTTTAAAAAAAATTGTCCTTGGTATTTTCTCCTTATCTATTCAACTTTTGAATTTCAATTGCCTCAGGGCTCAAGCCTCAGGATTCTTTTATTATTTGGACCTGTTTCTTAAATTTTTCTCTCCTAGTTTCATAGCTTCCATAACATGTAAATACCATCAAGCTATAGTTCTCTAATATGTGTGTGTGTGTGAACACATACACGCACGCACACACACACACACAGGGAATGCAAGTCTATCTACCAGAGTACAGATTCATATGTCTAAAGATGCATGACACATTTTCTTGGATTTCTAATAGGTATATCAAATTTAGCAATTCAAAATTAGCAATTCAAACTGATTGTTTTGCATTCTTTTCTACCTGAGGAATTAGCAATTCTACTATTTCCAAGTTCCTTGGACCAACCATCTTAAAGTCATTTTTTAATGCTTTGCTTCAAACATGCCTTATAGTAGATTCTATAGCAAATTCTGTTTGTTTTACCTCCAAAACATGCCAGCATCCAATGCCTCTCAACACATCTGTTTCAATCCCATCAATCCCAATCAAGCCAACATTATCTCTACTAGATTATCTCATAGCCGGCAAGCTGTTATTTATGCTTCTGCTTTTGATTCCTCTTCCCAATCCACTCCAAACATGATAGAGAGATTGTATTGAGTGATGCTTCTGTCCTCCACTCTCAAATGGCTTCCTATTTTTTTTGTTTGTTTGTTTCATATTGGAATGTTTAAAGTTGAAATCCTCACAAAAGATTTTCAGGTACTCTCTTCTCCCTTCCAAGAGTCTGACTTTATTTCCTACTACTTCTTCCTTTTCACCCTCTGATCCAGGCCCCTGAACCTTCTTTGTGTTCTTCTAACGTGGCAAATACATAACAGCGCAGTTTTTTGGACTTGCTATTCCTGAGCCTTAAACATTCTTCTCCCTGGTACCCCCACAGTTCAGGTTCTCATATCCTTCAGGTGTCTTATCACCTGTTACCTTATTTTTAAGGACTTCCTTGACCATTCTCTTTAAAATAGTAACCCTTTATTTTAGTACCTTTTAAATTGTGTTTTATTTTCTTTATAAATATAGAATTTAAAATGCTATTTTTGAAATTATGTTCTTCCTAAGTAGGGTAGCTTTTTGTTTATTTGCTCACTACTACATCTCAACTGTGTAATCGTTTTCATGGCACAAAAAGAGAACCTGATATATTTGAATGAATACATGAGTGAAAGAGAAATATTTTTTCTTTTATTTTAAAAGTTTTTCTCTGTTATATGAATGTTCTTATCAGTAACAGATCAATGTTAATTGTTTTAGAATAAGGTAGGGAGACCAAAACAGCAAATTTAATGTCAGAGTAACAATGTGTAAAGAAAAGAGTCTTTTATTGTGAAACATATTATTACATTGTTTCCTCTATTTCTAATGGAAAGTATATTTTTAGAATATTAAATCATTATAAAGTAATGAAAATCATTTGCAAGAAATACATAAATATATGATAAACACAATCATCTGAAGTGCTTCAAGTTTTAGAAAATGCACTTTAAATTATATATTTTACTTTCAAGAAGAGAACATTGTAGATCATTATACTCCCATATTAATATCAGTTTAACCAAATTTTGTGTGGACGATGGCACATATGGCAAAAGAATTTTATTTTCACTTTGACAGCAACTGCATTTAAAAAAATAACTACAGATAACTATGTGAGGTGAAGAATATGTTAATTAGCTTGACTGTGCTAATCATTTTACAAAGTATACATATATATATCAAAATATGTTATACACCTTAAATATAGATAATTTTTATTTATGAATCATATGTTAGTGAAGCTGGAAGTGTAAAAATTAAAAGCTTCTACAGAGAAAAATAAAACAAAAAACACAAGTTACTACAAACGCTTAAAGCTAGAAATTACTACATTAAGGTATAGAAATCGAAACTACTCACAATTTTAGCAAAAACTTCACATTTTTCTGATATGTAAATTTTCAGTCATTGTTCCTGATCTACCCCTTAATGTGCTTGGGTGGTTAGTTATCATATATTAATTGTTTCAATCAAAATGAAACCCACATGCTTATTAAAAGCATAGGTTACTCATCAAATTAAAAATGCCCATGATAATATAAATGTGTCTAGACTCAAGGTATGCACTGCCCAAAGATAATCTGAAGACATGAACACTTGATACAGCAATAAACTATTTGGAATGCAAAAAAATAAATGTGAATGTTATTTTTTTATCCAAATGGGAAACACCAGAATATAAATTTTCTGCTTCAACTCAAAAGTGATTGCCTCATTAAACTTTATACAATAATGTTACCTTCCAGTATCTTTATTATTTCCCCAATCAAAAACACTTTATAAATACTATATTAAGAACTTTTAATACTTTTTAGGTCTCTATCTATTAGGAACCTTTGCATTTCTGAAATGATGTTGAAATTTTGCTCTACTGAATAATTTTTTATGGTAGACTAATGCCATGTTGCTAACCTTGTGTAAGAATATTATAGTAAGAATAGCAATGTGATTTTAGAATTTAAAAAGATAAATAATCAACATTAGAAGACATTTGTAAGTATAGTTCATATATAGTCTTGAGAAAATATCTTGTAAAATTTTATTTATTTTAAGAAACTCTTGGGAGCATAGTATAAAAGTATCATATAAATTACTTGATGTAATTGTAATTGGATCTTTGGGTTGAATTCCATTATATGGCTTACTAAAATGCTTTTTTTATCCATCAGTAATAGACTCACAGCATCTATTACGTACTTGTTGTAGAAAGTGTGCCCCAGGATATGGCACCTGTTATCTTGAATGACATTTCTTATTTTCTCAATAATTACATTGGAACATCATATTTGCATAAGTGTCTTGAGTCCTTCTTCGGTAGTCATAGGATTTAGATTGTTGTCCTTTTCAAATTGTTTTTCATCTTTTATCCAGAAAATTAAAAACTTTATTTCACAAAGTAAACTGTTAAAGAAAGACAATGGGATATTTTCTCTTTGCTTGCTTAACAAACTATTAAAAGTAATTTCCTCAAATATTTTTGAAAGCCATTTTAAAAATCCTTAAATCTCATAAATAAATGAAGATACTGCAGTGTTATTTTTTTTTAGTGTTTAGAATATCACCAAACAACGTTTTGCTCTTATGAAATAGAATCCATGGTGTTGACATTGTTATTTTGAATGCCTTTATTCAAATGTTATATGTTCATTTCTTTCAAGATAAAAATAAATATAATTTTATATGGAATACAATGATGGCATAACACCATTCATGCTACCTCTCAATGTACTTTTCCTTTCTTAGATTATGGAAAAGAAAGGTACATTTAGAGACACCATATTATTACTAGATACAGTACTAAATTTACAAGTAATAATTAGTAGAGTATTGCCTGAATGAGTCTTTAGAGTGTGTCTCCTTTCTTTGGAATATCTCTTATCATATGGCTAACTCGTCTCGAGAAATCAGAAATTGGAGTGTTCAAATGGTATCTCAATCAAGGTAGGTCATCTTCTGATCTTTAGTTCTAATAATTAAAGAATAACAATTTTAAATCTTGTCATTTATAAAAATAAATCTTGTAATATCTATAACTGTTTTATGTTAGACGATTTGCAAATGGGGGTATCTAATTTAATCCTTAAAGAGGGACTTTTTATATTCCAGTAAAGATAAATTCATGAATGTTGAAATACTCTTAAAAATTTTCTCAAGGTCATACAGCTCAATTTCATGATTTGAACTCTGATTAGTGTTACTTTATAGTTTTTACTATTTCCAACATTACACTGAATCACTCATTCTTTTTAAATTACAAATATGTCAAAATATCATTTGCTAAGTTTTATGTGCATAATATATTGATTTTGTTACAATATACCTGAATGTGAGAAATTCTTCTTGGTTTTCAAATTGTATAAAGTAATATTTTAAAAAGTCAGGCAAATTCCAAAGGATCATACATTGATAAATAGTGAGTTATGTCTGATCCCATCACAAAAGTTCTTTGTTCTGTTCCTCACTTGCTGTCAAAATGTATATCAAAAGTGTAAAGTTATTTTCTGATTTGTAGTGTTCTGGTGATCAAAATGGTTTACACTGTAAGAAGTTATCAAGAAATGGAACATGTCAATATTTTTATCTTCAGTGGTTAAGTAGTGAAGATTTAGCAACTTACCTTAATAAGTATCTATAGATATTACTATGGTCTAATGTAATTTTACAGAGGCTTCATGCCCTTTTTCACAGAGTATTTTTGAAGGCCAAAATAGCTTAAAGGAGCAAAAGGAAACTTCTGAGTTCTCTACCATGTTGTGTTAGTCAGGGCTCTCCAGAGAAATAACCAATGGGTTATATAGAGAGAGACACATGTAAGAGGAGATTTATTATGAGAATTGGCTCACATGATTATGGAGGCCAAGAAGTTCCAAGCTTCCTGGGTTTGAGAGCTGGAGACCCATGAAAACCAGTGATGTAATTCAATCCAAGCCCGAAATAGAGAGGGCAGCTGGTGTAAGTCTTGGAATCTAAAGGTCCAAACACCAGAAGCTCTGATTAAAATTAGAAAAAGATGAGTATCCCAGCTTAAGGAGAGAGAGAGACAGACAGAGACACAGAGAGAGAATATGTTCGCCCCTCACCTTTTTGCTTTATTTAGGCAGTCAGCAGAATAGATAATGCCCACTCACACTGGGAAAGGCATACTGTTACTCAGCCTACTGATTCAAATGATAGTCTTTTCAGAAAACACTCACAAACACATCAGAAACATTTTACCAGCCATCTGTGTATCCCTTAGCCAAGTCAAGTTGACACTTTATACTGTCAAATATGTCATTGCTAAATTACTGGGTTATATTTTAATTCTAACTTTATTCACAGAAATTATTCAGTGAGTAAATTAATAAATAATAAAGTGAGTTTTATCAGTGTATCAATATTTATGCTAATACCTACTACTAAAAAGGAGGCAAGTGTAAGTGTAGGTGTTATATTAACCCCCAGTATATCGCATAATAAAATTTAAAACTGATTCTAATATCCCTTTATATTTTGATTATAGACAATACATCAAATAGATTTTTTATGATTAAGTCGAAGAAAAATTGCTAATTCATATGTCCAAATTGGAGAGATCTGATTTAAAAGGCAATAGGTTATCAACAGAAATGTCTGCATTTTCTTATAATTATATTAACCATATATATAAATAATATATATGTATATATAATTCCTTTATTGTAAAATGCATCACTGAATGTTTCTTATGATGAAATTCAAAATTGTCTTGAATTTCAAACCATTTTTGACTCAATTACAGAATTAAAATTATGTACTCTTTTAGCTAATCATAGAGAATTAAGAGATCATAGATCAAAAACAGTGTCTTTTTCCTAAATAATGCTTTTATTAGTATTACTTTTGTATGTCATTCTCAGGAAAAGATTATATGGAAAAATGACTTAATTATAGTTAAAAACATTATATAAACAAGTTTATAATGGTCAGCAATAGAAAAAAATTTCTTTTATATTAGCACTATATATGCAAGTAGATTTTATATTCCACCTCAAATGTTTCAATATGCCATTCATTTTCATTGTAATGTGAACTTGTAGCTCTATAGCTTGGCCTCTTACAGAGACAATCTGTGACTCTTTGGAGTTTGGATGGCTTAGAATAACGACATGCACATTTCATTAACGAGCATGTTTTCACATGTCACAGAATATACTATTTTTAAAAATATAGCATTTTAAATGTAATTTATTTGTGTATATTGGCAAAAGATGATATTAGGTCTTTTTATTTAAGATTTTGTTTGCTTTTATTGACATGTGGACAGGGGGCAGAAATTTTTGCTTACCTCTAAAATCTTGACCTAGCGAGGTCAAGATAAATTAAGGAACTTAAGATAGAAAAGTGATGAGAATTTTTGTGCATGTAATAAATTGGAACTGTGTCATTTGCAAGCTTGATAAATGTTCTTTGATAGCCCATATTTGATAGCAAATTTTAATGCACTTGATTTTTAATGGTCTCATTGATCTACGGAGACAAAGTACAGAGTTCATAGCTTATCTAATCTTCCCCTGAACCCATTCCAGACTACTATTCCTTAAGGAAATGATATTTTTAACTTTAGAATGAGCAGGTCTCAATTATCTACTGCCATTAAGAAAGCAGTGACTGGAATATGATGATTTTTGTTTGATTTAAATCTTTATAACTTCTATGATGTAACATTTTTATTAACTGTATTACTTCACCAGCACAATCTTCTGAATACTGTGAAAAGATATTATAGTTAAGTACTGGAGTGTGCTTAACAAGATCCTTCAAATGTTCTTCTTCTATATGCTTAAAGACAAGTAAGAAAAAAAATCATTTCAATTAATATGTAAGAGATGAAGGTGACCTCAATAAGTTGTAAAAATTCTTCTTCAAACTTTTAGATGGAGTTGTTTCTGAATTATTCAAATGAGACCTTCCCATCTGCACCCCATTTTTTAGACAATCCAGCCCATCAACTTTTGGTATTCATATTGCATTTTCTCTAGGGACAGAGGTATTATTAGCTTTGTAAGAGACACATGTCCTTCATATATTTCATGTTAATGAGTAGGGTAAGTTGAGTGGAATCATTTTAGAAAGAGACCAATTTTGATAAAAATGGAAGCATTAACATAAAAGCTATGTTTCCCTGACTGAAATTTAAAATATCCTTGTTTGAAATATATATTTGATTTAGCCAGTAGTTGTTCCTTGCCTCTGAATAAGAGAGCCTCCAACTCAGAGGTTAAAGCAAGTTTTAAGCACATTAAAAGATCACACATTACAACATAAAAAGAATAGTGATTAAGTTCATTTTGCAACTTTATAACAAAATCATGTAGTAGTTAACATTAGAAAACATAATAACATAATACACCTTTATTCGATTATTTACTATATTTATCATATACACTATGTTCATGTAAAGTGTTTTATTTATAAACAAACATAATTAAAAACAAAATAGTCAATATGAAACAAAAGCAATTTTAAAAGACAAATTAATTATTTTCATATAGAGGATAATTGGTATTTCAACATTTTGATACAGATTTGAGTAAAAGCAAAAGTAAAATAACACAGATGAGTATAATAATATAAAGTCAAACATTGCAAAAAATTCAAGGCCAATGCTGGAATGTATAGAATATTTGGCAAAACAATTTATTAGGAGAGTAACAAAGTGTTTATAAGAACTTTAAATGCTTGACATATTAACTATTAGGTTTGATTAGTAATCTTCTTGTGAAATGTTTTATTTTCTCTTGAATGGATCTGAGATATATGCAAATTAGTAAAAACTTAATTAGGAGATCAATCATCAAATCATACATTAACTCTTCAGTATTTTCATGGATAAAATAATTAGAATATAGTAAAAATTATCTTATTTTTAAGCTGAAGTCTATATAATAAAAAAATAAACCTAGGAAAGGGCACTCATATGTATTATATTCCACTCACACACACAAGTATAAGTGTCTGCACAGGTAATCATGATAATGTTACTAGTAGAAACGTGAAACATACTTCTTTAACAAATAGTAAAGATTAATTTGATTATATATCCTCATTTTAATAAAATTATGGTTTTATAAGACTAAGTGATAGAATAGTGTGATCAGTCATAAAAATAAGCTTTAAAAATGAATTGATAACTACAGTTGTTAATTGGACAGTTTGCAATCATACTCTTTTAGAAATTGAGCAATAATTTACATCTGCAAAATTTTACAACATATAAATAGGTCTAAGAGGGACCATTTTGTTCCAATGGCCTTAACTGTGAAGCTCAGCTTTTTAAATTTGTGTACAGCAATACTTAACTTCTGAAAATGCTTAAGCTGTGCCAAGCACTGTTAAGATATTTTAATATATTCCCTCAACCTGTCTCAAAACTCCTTTAGGTGACTTAACCAGTTTCTAACAATAGGAAAATAACAGAGATGGAATTTAATTTCAATCTGCAATTTCAACCACTATCATTAAATACTATGTAACTGAAATGTATTTATATATTTTTAACTGCAAGCATTAAGTTTTAACCTGTTCTTTGTAAAGCTAATATTGAAATACATGCACCAGGATTTTGATGTGCTTAACTATTTTTTAATATAAATATCAGGTACCAGTGATATTATTTATCTTTCATTATAGCCACATATGGCTCTGCACACATAAGGTCAAAACTAACTTCAAGTCTAGATTTAGTGTTTGTTTTTTTTTTTTTTTGTATGTACTGTAGGAGAACAAACAATTACCTTGTTTTTATTTATTTATTTACTTATTTATTTAGAGACAGGGTCTCGCTCTGTCGCCCAGGCTGGAGTACAGTGGCTCCATCTCGGCTCAGTGCAACCTCTGCCTCCCAGACTCAAGCAATCCTCCCACCTCAATCTCCCAAGTAGCTGGGACTACAGGCGCATGCCACCACACCCAGCTAATTTTGTATTTTTAGTGGAAAGGGGGTTTCTCCATGTTGCCCAGGCTAGTCTCAAACTCCTGAGCTCCAGCGAGCTACCTGCCTCGGCCTCCCAAAATGCTGGAATGACAGGCGTGGCCACTGTGCCCAGCCAATGTTTGTATTTTTTACTAAATCATATTCAGTTGTCAGGCTAATAATGGCAAATGTTTATAAGCTTGTGGTTTCAGTTTGCTTTGCTCTGATATTTAGTGATGTTGAGCATTTTTTCATATAGCTTTTGGCTATTGTATGTCTTCTTTTGAGAAATGTCAATTCAGGTATTTTGCCCATTTTTAAAAGAGATTATTTGTTTTTTCATTATTGAGTTGCTTGAGTTCTTTTTATGTTCTGGATATTAGCCACTTAGCATATTTTTTGCTTTGCAAATATTTTCTCCCATTCTATAGGTTGTCTGTTCACCCTGTTTGTTTCTTTGCTATGCAAAAAGAATATTTTAATTTGATATAATCTTACTTGTCTGTTTATGCTTTTGTTGACTATGCTTTTCGGGGTCATATCCCAAAAATCGTTTGCTAAACCTGTCTAGGAATTTGTTTCCTATATTTTCTTTTAGTCGTCTTACAGTTTCAAGTCTTACATTCAAGGCTTTCATTCATTTTGAGATGGTTTTGGATATGGGCTGAGATAAAGATCCAATTTTATTCTTCTGCATGTGAATATCTCATTTTTCCAACACCATTTATTGGAGAGACTGTCTTTTCCCCATGGTACATTGCTGATGCCTTAGCCAAAGATCAGTTGGCTACAGATGTGTGGATTCATTACTGAGCTCTCTGTTTCTTATAGTATATATATGTGTATATATATATATAGTACATATATACATATATGTATAGTATATATATAGTATAAGACATAAGTATAGTGTAAGAAACAGAGAGCTCAGAAATATATATATATATGTATATATATATATGAAACTATACATAGTGTAGCTTACCAGTGTATTTAGAAAAGATTTTTCTAATAAACTCTTTTATCATAGATCCAAAAGACATGGGCTAAATCATAAGGTCCCAAAAATCATCTATCAATGTTCAAAAGCTTATTATACATTTTCTATATTCTACCTTGGAGTGAGAAACATACTTCATGAAATAGCAAGAAGCCCAGTATGGCTAGAATAAAGTGAGTGATGTGAGTATAACAGCAGGTGTAGCAGGTGTAATTGGGGAGGCAGATGAATAGGAGGGGTAAACCACTTCAATTATTTTAAGGTAATTAAAAAGAATCCAGCCCTTCCTTTGTAGGGCAGTGAGCCTTTGGTCAGTTCTATAGAGTTTGGCGAGCTGACTTGTTTTAAAATCATGATTCTGGGTTATACGTGGAGAATAGACTGTTTGAAATAAGGATGAAGTAGAAACACCATTGAGGAGCTGCTCCCAAAATTATATTAAGAGGTTATCATGGCTTGGCTTAAGGTTGTAATTTGGAATAGTGAGAATTCATTGGATTTTAAATACATTTTGAAGGTAGAATATACAGGATTCACTCATGATCTGGGTATTGGATATGAGAGAAGGCATCAACTGTAACTCCAAGATTTTCATTTTTGATCGCTATAGGCAAGTTATTCTCAACAATTATATTGGCAGTCAGATCCCAGAGTCACTTTATTTTTTTGCTGTCAGCCATGGGCTTGTTTCCAGTCTTAAATGCTGGATTTTATGAGTAGGGGATGTAGTGACACAGCTATCTGTTCAGCAAACCTGAATCTGGCCTTCCACAATGCAGTTGTGGCTCCTTTCTCTGGCCTTATTTTAGCAGTCTACTTACAAGCCAGATCTCAGTTTTTGATATTTGCTGTTATTGCGTGTATGTCTTTTAGCGGGAAATTCTGTATTTCTGGTCTACAGTTTTTCTTTCCCTTCCTAGTTTTCAACTAAAGCTGCAATTATTTTTAAGATATTTCTCTATTTTACTTAATATCTTCTTGAAAATCAAACATAAGGACTCTTAGAATGTTAAAGTTATCCTTCCACCCCAAAATTCTTAATAACCTTGCAGAGAAATTATTACTTTTATGTTACTCTAAAGGAACTCAGGCTTTAGGAAGGCAACCAGGACTGTGACTACTAACTACAAACGTCTGCTTCACACCAAGCAACGACTAAGTAGCTCTTAGCATGGAAGAGGGTAGAAGTGGAGCAACAACATAAAAAAAAAAAGCCAGTGGAAAGGCATCTATGCTAGTTTGTGAAAGCCCTTTGTCTTTACATACAGACACTAAGCCCATTTGGTAATGATGAAGGGAAATAAACTACTTATTCTTGATTATAGAAAGTTATGATGTAAGAATGTCTTCTCTAAATATATAATATACAGGAAAATATAATCTGCCAAAAATAATATGTTCTATCCAATATCAACATTGTATGTTTTATATACTGAGTAAAAAAATTCAGAAAATTTGAAGTAAAAAAACCTTCATATTTTAATGCATTCATATAAATTTTTCTTTTCAGTTTTGTATGTAAAATATATTTCGGTATTTTTTAAACAAATTTTAGAGTAAAAATTATTTTTATTTGTTATAACCTTATAATATAAGATACATACTTCATACAAATGTACTTCATTGTCAGAATGCAGAATGCATTTACATAATTATTATGTAATCATTATTCACTTTTTGAATACTTATGTCTTTAAATATTTTATATTCTAAAAATCCTGTGATATATAATAAATACTGTAATGTACATAGTATACGCCATCAAGGAAGTAATGGGAGAATATAGAATTAAATCAATAAGATTTCACTCAGAAAAATATAAGCATGATGAATTTGGCTTGCGACCTATAAAAGTATTTGTAGTAGTCACAGAGAATACCGATAGTGATGGTGGATTGGAGGACTGGGGACCGGTTCATGGAAAGGCTACAGTAAAAATATGTCTTCCATAAAATCAAACAAGTTCTACAGCCCTTACAACCATGTCCTATAGTCTGTGGCTGAATTAAGGACACTGATGGGAGAGCAACTGGGAAAAGTCACTCAAGGACCACCCTGTCACCATAAGCATCGAGCCAGTAGAACTCTTGTGACCTATTTTCTGCTTTCTGAAATGGCAATATAACAACAGAAGCTAAGCAAAGAGGAGATAATAAGGCCATTAAATATTCAATGCATTTAGTGGAAAAGTCTCTTGATTGCCAACTTTTTTTGCTTTGCTAAACAAATAGTTTTACCTAGAGAGCAATAAATGTGTTGCACCCAATCGCAGATACTGTTTCTGAGGACATGCATAATTATTCAGCCATCCAAGGTGAAACTTCTTTAAGTCAACAAAAATGAGACTTTGGTATTATATAGGCAGCATTGTTTTTGACAGTCATATATTATTTGGAACAAGTTATTTTTGTCAACAAGTCCATTTTTTAGTATGTAAATTTAAATCATGCTGGTCAATCTGCTAGTAAGTACTAAAAAGTTTCAACTAGCTTTCTCTAAGAAATGCATTAAAATGCAGGTATATTTTTAAAGTGGGTTATCATTACCATTAACTGAATTTAAATAACATCATATGTCACCAGCTTGGTGTTAATCGTTGTCATAAATAATATCTCTAAGTGCTAGAATTAGAGCTCCCATGTGACACACTGAAAGAGTGGTCAAAATAATTTGCACTTTTTTCATCAAAAGTAGATGTTATTTATTTATCCATTGAGTCTTGACTCTTTTTGTGATGTGTTACAAAAGTGTAAGTTCAGAGTCCAGGACTCAGGGGCCTTGCATGCTTTCACTCTAGAGGCCCTTGAAACCCTGCCATTGTCATACGAAGAAACCTGGATAATCTGGTATATGAGAAACCACACAGGGAGAGGCCTTGGTTGCGACAGTTATCTCTTCTTTTTTATCCATCTCAGTCCTCCAAGGTGAGGTCCCTGATGTGTAGTAAGACCATCAAGAAGAGTGGAGCTTGACCCAGATCCAAACTGCCCAGTTGAGACTAGGTCAAATTCATGAGCCACAGAATCATCATCTAAAGAAACTAAGTCTTAGGATAATTTCTTATGCATCAATAGATGAATGAAAAATAGCACAATACAAATTTAGAGAATTTTTAGCCTATTCCTTCCAGAATCTCTCCCCTCAAGGACAGGTGAGGGCTAAAGTATGCCATATCAAAATTTCCATGACAACTTGGTATCACAGCAAATCACCGTCATTCATGTGCACATTTTTTTAAAGTCAAACGTTTTCTACAACACCTACCTGTGGAATAATTATAAATCCACTGGTCACTGTTCCTTTGCCCTCCCTGGGAAAAGTCAATATTAGAGGTCTGGTTGACTTTTATGTCATATGACATACGATAGAGTTATTCCCAGATATGGAATGTATTATGTACTTTATTGTATTTAAACCACAGAGACAAAAGATTATGGTATTGATGCTCTTTCTCTCATGATTTCTTTCTCTTTCTATATTGATTTATTCATCTCCTTCCAAGAAAGCTCTAAATAACATTATGTCTATCAGAAAACTGATGTATTAGGATTCTAATAGGAGACACGCATACATATATTTGTGTGTGAGTGTGTGTGTGTGTGTGTGTGTGTGTGTGTGCACAGAGAGAGAGAGAGGGAGAGAGAGAGAAGGGAAACTTATCGTGGTAAGTTGCTCATGAGATTGTACATCTTGATAAGTTCAAAATACTCAGGGGAGGCAGGTAGGCTGGGGACCAAGGGAAGAGATAATGTGTTAGTTCAAGTAAGAAGGCAGCCTGGTGGATGAATTCCTTCTTCTTCTGGAGAGGTCAGTCTTTTTCTAGTAAAACTTTTCACTGGGATGAGGCCCACCAACCCACATTATGGAGGCTAATATATGTACTAAAAGTCTATTGACTTAAATATTAATCTTACCTAAAAAATACTTCACAGATATTTTTCTCAAATAGGTAGATTTTAGCTGTTGTTGTCATTCAAATAACTGTGTGAGATACTGGATATGTTAATTTGATTCACTATAGTAAATATTTTACTATCAATATGTATCCTATAACATCATGTTGTAAACCTCAAATATACATAATAAACTTTATTTTTAAAATGAGACTCAACAATAAAAAATACATCACAGTAACAGCTAAAGTTATGTTTGACCAAATAGGTATGTACTGTGTCTTAGCAAAAATGACACATAAAATTAACCATCATACCTGAATATATCATTTCATGTTTGTTCAGACTCAGAACCTGAGTCCGAACTTGATACTTTCAAAATACCCTGTTTAACCAAATATAGACATTGTACATTTATTTCATCTTGGAGTCAAAACTGATAATTATACACATAATGTTTTCTTTCTTTTTTCCCTGGAACTGACTGAGTACATGACCATCTGAGATAAACATTATATTTTGAAGGCTTACTTGGAAATAGCTGTAGTCATATGTCTGAGATCTGGCCAATTGAAAGAATGAAAATGTACCTCTGTAATTTCCAGGATGTGTTTTAACAGGAAGTGGTGTGTTCTTCAGCCTTCTATTAGCTAAATTGAATCTGGAGTAAATTAATGGAAAGTATAGTAAAGCAGGTCAAGAGTAGTAAACTGGCTCCTAATATAATAGTCCTGTACTACCTTCAGGTTTATTTGCTTGAGAACAAAACAAAAACAAAAACAAACAAACAAACAAACAAAAACATTTCCACATTGATGAAGTCACTGCTATGCTAATTTTGTTTTTTATTACTCACAGGTGAATATAACCTTAAATATTACAGTTGTTTTGGATAAACTCTGGTGTCTGATCACAATGTACCTTTTCACACTCCTAAACAAATCCTTTAAATTACACAGATGGCCCACTAGCTCCTTCTCCAATAAACATTCTGTTTCAATGATATTTTTTCACACTACCATTACTTTCCAATTTATTATAAACAGATTTCCTTTTCATTAATTAAAAAAGAGAAGATTTGTTAAAGACATTTACAAAACAATCTATATATGATATGTTGGCACATTGCTCAAAATTCTTAGAAGATTCTTAATTACTTAGACAAAATGTCAAAGAGCATGAGACCTTTATCACATTTAAAGAAGGATTTTTTTTCCTCTGTTCAATCGTAATGGCTTTTTCAAAAAACAAAGCTGTAAAAGTAAAGCCCTTATAATCTTTTTGTTTGAATAATATTACAGGTTTTTCATTCAATGTTTTTATGATTATGGAGTAACATATCTATTCAATCATTCATTCATTTATCCAACCACTTTTCTATGAAAGAATTAGGGAGAATCGAATACACACCAAACCCTGTACTAAGCTGTGGGAAAGTATGAATAAGGCACAGTGTCTGCCTTCAAATTTCAGTCATCTCTGAGGACGTAAAAATATATTATTATACCATGTATCAGGAAATAACATTAAAGGAATAAATACAGGATATTAGTGTTCTAACTTCATGTTGGTTTTAATTATTCTCACTTTTGATGCCTTTCTACAAGTAGTAGAATAACTGATGCTGTGATTATTGATTTCTCAGTGTATGGAGTTTCTCTCCTTTAGAATTGCTAAGAAACTAAGAGTAGAATGGAGAGTCATTTGGACATAAATTAATGGACATATACTTAATGTGGATCCACAGGGATTTTCTGAATTTCTCTGGTCATTATATAGCTAGTATCAATTCCTCAGGAAGCTTGGCAGTCATTTTTTCCTCTTCAAAACAGTTTTGTGGTAAGAATCTCTAGGGATGTAGAAAGTGTCAGTTGTTTGGTTTCATAAGAATACTTCCCTCAGACTGCAGCTGTTAATACCACTCTTTCTCTCTCAGGTAATCTATGATGTCTGGGACTGGGAGGAAATAACTTAGAGAAGGTTTGTCAATATACTCTAAAAGAAAATGTCATAGATGTTCCCATTCTTTTCAAGTTCAACTTGTACCCCACTGGAGGTATCAGTATTTCATGTTGATGAAAACAAATGGGAGTGAGGATGTGATTTGATCAGATTTGATGAGTTTTATAGGAGGAAATAGAACTCAGCAGTAGGTGATAAAAGTGCTAAATAAATGAAAATAAACCTAAGATGTTCTGAAACCCTTGCAGAGACACTCCAGCAGTTTTCATGATGCTATGGATGGAAAGGAGAGTTACACAAATGTAAGTCTTTTCACCTATTGTCCTGGGAAATGTAAAATGATCATTGTGCTCAAGAAAAGAGCATTTTAATAATTTAAATATGTAAGTAGACTCTGTCTTAGAAATATGAGGTTTTGAGTTTGTGAATGATAATGGACACTTACGAAGGTATTTGTGTTCATTGGTACAAAATATCTCCAGACTTGACTTGGAAGGCAAAAGTCCTCACCATAAATGTGAGAATGAGTATGAAAAAAAAAAAAAAGACTTGACACACAGATATTAGAATGAATCCCATGAGGAAAAGAAAAGGACATATTTAGATTTATCTAAATGTGATAATGTACAGAGAAAGAAGAAAACCTCCCATAAAAAATCAAGATATGGGAAGCAGACAATGATAATTATTGGCGCTCCTTGTCAAAAGATACAACATGTAGTTGATAGCTTAAGCATCTGGAAGACAACCATGTCTCTTTAAGTTCCCTTCATATAACAGGAAATGTCATGTTCTCTTTGTTTTATGGAATATAAACTTATTTCTAAAGCTGATACTTACTACCTGACCACATCCACGAACTAGATTTTGTCAAGTTCTGGAGCTAATGTTAAAGGTTGGCATTTTTAAACTACAAATACTAGTATTACTAAAGCACTCTCTATTTGATTCCAACTTAAACCATATCTTTCTTATTTCATATGCCTGAATTATTGATAGATACATTCATGGCATATTATAAGACCACACTTCTCTCATGCTATTTCCTCTTATTATTTTGTCAAATAATGGAATTTTATATTTTTATCTCACCAACTATATGTATGGTTTTTTGTACTGAATGTTTAGCTCCATAAATCTATATGTAGAAACTGTAATTCCAATGTGATAAGATTTGAGAGGTGGGTCATTTGAGAAGTAATTAGGTCAACAGGGTGGAACCCTCACAAGTGGGATGAGAGCCTCACAATAGGGTGGAGGCCTCACAGATGGGATCAGAAGAGGCTGGAGAATTACTTAGCTTTCTTGCTGTGTAGAGATACAAGGAGAAGACGGAAATCTGCAACCCGAAGGATGGCCCTCACCAGAATCCGACCACGCTGGCACCTTGAACTTTGACTTTCACCCTTCAGAACTGTGAGAAAATAATTCCTGTTTTATAAGCAGTCCATTCTGTGGTACTTTGTTATAGTAGTCTACTGATAAAAACAGCGGTTTTGTATTAGTTGAAAGACTTTCCTGGTACCAACTATTTGATTACCTGTAGATCTATATCTTACAATTTCAATTCTCATTCACAAGTTATCTAATTATGAGCTTTAATAATTGATATCTATTTTCAAATTCATTGTATTATATATACACATATATACAACTTTCTCTTAAGTTTTTCAATTTTATGTGTATCACAATTAATTAAAATGAATATGTCAACTCACAGAATTGTGAGCAAAATTTTTTTTTATTTTAAGAGACTATGTTTCTAGATGGCTTGTTATGTAGAAATACGTGAAACTGCTACAGAAATAGATGAAATAATATAGAGATTAGATGCTGCCATAAACAAAATTTTAGGTATACGGTTTGAATTTGGGATGAGACAATATGTCTGACTGTTGATGTGGTAAGGAAATTGTTAAAGAAGCCTGGAAAATGGAAACCTACATTATGTGATAACGAAATGATGAAAACTCTTAACTATGGTAACTTGGGGTGTGAAAAATGCATATAATGAGCTTGTGGACTTTGGCAGATGATTTCCAGGTAGAAATTGGAAAGTATCATTTGTTTCTTTTTTTAACTGTCTACAATAATATGCAGGAAAGAGATGAACTAAACTAAAACATTACAATCTGCATACATAATTTAGAGAGAATATGGATTCTCTCTAATCAGAACTCTCTGATTTAAAAAATAAAACTTTTTATCAATTCTATGATTTCAAGTTTGCAAAAGTTCTTGAAGCAAGAAATAGCGTCAGGTTCGAAATAAAGTAAAAGGTATGGCTAGAGACCACTGATAAGATTTCTGAATGACTTCAGTAGTTTCCTCTCTGCTAGACAAAAGGACTTCTAAGAATCTTAAGAACATTGTCTCACAGCAATCTAACATGCCCACAGTTTACCAAAGCCTCCCCAGAAATAACTGTGGGTGTGGATAGTAATGCATGCAGTAAAGAAAATCAGGTTTAGAGGAAACCCAGAGAATGTTTAAGCAAATTATATTAGTGAAAGCAATGCTAGCTTGAATTACAAGGATCTTTCAGCACCTGGCACGCTGAAGCCAGAAAGCAGGATGAGAAAGATAGCTTCTAACATGGCTTATTTTTATGGAAAAAAAGGAGTTTAGATCATAACACAAAAGTCCATAGACAATTTTGGATGGACATTGTGTGCTTTTAGGATAGAACATAGTCTTAAGAAATATTTCATAACTCCAGAATAGGGAGAATTGTGTGGCTGGTGGGATTTCAACATTTCTATGGAAAAGTGGCTGCCATGTATGTCCCATTCTTCCCATTTTCAAATGGAGTAAGTATTACTATTACTTTGTCCTTATATCATCTATGTATATTGCTTGCATACTGAATTGATAGGAAAAACATCTGAAAAGCCAAATGTGCATACAATTTTAAATCATGAAATTCTGGATTCAGTGTGTGACACAATAATTAGAAGAGACATCTGGAGGTGTTAGGAGTCGATATGTGTTTTTTTCTATTGTAAGAGGTCCATAAATTATTGGGATAAGCAGGAGGCATTTTGTAGATTTTTGCATTATGTTCACTATTCTTTATATTCACACTCTTTGAAATTTTGCTTCTTTACTGACTCTGGTAGCTCCTTTCCATACTAATTCCAGTACAATAATTTCCCAGACTTCTTTGGCTGATGAACAAAAGAAAACTCAAGCGAGTAGAGTCTGTTTAAGTATTTGCACAACTGAGCTTGCCCTTGTTTTCTGTTCTTAATGTCATATAATGGCTATATTAAGAACTCCTGACTAGTACGTTGTAAGGGAAGAGACAAGTAACCCATTTGCAGTGGTTGTTTCAGTCAATAGCTTGCCAACTTCCAGACAAGTGAATTAAACCATCCTACCTTATTTGTTGAGCGACTTCAGCCAAGTTTGGCTGAGCCAGTTCAAATGTGAACAATAACCCAACCCACAGAAACTTAAGGACAATGCATACTTTTTAAGAGTCTGTTTGAGGGTGTTTTGTTATAACAAAAGATAATTGATATCAGTGATGATTCATATTTTACAATGTATTTTAAACCAGACAATATAGACATATCCAATGCAATTGTCCTGAAAATCAAAATTATTTTGCAGGATATTCTTTTATTATATTAATATTAAAAATATTTAGTAATTTAAATAGAGTCAGTAGGCAGGAATATAGAAAGAAAGAAAGAATTATCTCAGAACTTCACACTAAAAAGAAGATACATTTACAATAAGACAGCTGTATACTCTTTGGTGGTAGAGTCTGTAGAATAACTCTAAGGGCTGGCTAATTACAAGGGCACTGAACATTTACAAATTATTTTCCAAGAGAATTTAGAGTTGAAGCAATGTTACAAGAGATAAAGTCAGTATGAAAAATATGCACAACATGTATACTGCAATCTGTCAAGAAGGTTAGTGATGAAATTATTCTATTCAGTCACAGAAGTAATTACTATGCCACTACAATGTGCAAGGATCCATCTTGGGTTATAAAGGTACAAAGGCACAATATATTTGCTTAAAGAGCCTACCATCTACCAGGAAATTAGAAAAGAAATTTAGGAGACATCAAGCTTAAAGAAAGCCTGTATTATTCTTATTTGTTTCTTTATTATTTCAAGATAGAAAATATCGGCAAGGGATGTGTAGCTAGAGTTAAATGATTTCATATATAGTGAGAGACTGGGGGTGCATTGCCACCAATTTCCTAAGCATGCAACAGAAGGAAATTGTCACTTTTAATATTAACATCTGATTATTTCCCTTTTTATTCTGTTTACTCCATTCAATGGAAAAATCTGTCTATGGAGTTATTATAACACTGGCCAGTGGTATAGTGACTCCACCACACTACTTAGCCAGTTTGTTATGTATTCAATTTTATACCTAGTATATAGGGTGGACAAAAATCTATCAATATGGCCAAGCAGCTTTAGGTAGGGTAACTCTACTTTAGGCTTCTCTCTGATATCTTAGGTTTATTTCAGTGAAAACTACAAGTAAGAGACACATAGCCACATCCCCTGATTTTAGCGTGAGAGGCTATCCATTAGAAAAACATGGTTGTAAGCCCACCATATTTAAAAATAAATAAGTTAAATTGCTGACTTTGAGTGAAGCTATAGGAGATTACTTATATACTATCTAACGGGGTTACCATTTTGTAGGTTGGCATCTTTTTATGTTATATTCATAGGGTTATATTAACAGGGTTACCATTTTGTAGGTTGGCACCTTTTTATGGTCATAGACAACCATCTGGAAAGATGATTGACAGATTATTGCTAATGGGATGAAAAACGTTTGAATGTTTAAAATCTCTCCACACAATGACAAAAGGTATAATTTAATTGTGATTATCTTTTATTAGGGATTGGATTCATTTCCCTTTTTTTTTTTTTTTTTTTTAGGCGGAGTCTCGCTCTGTCGTCCAGGCTGGAGTGCAGTGACGCGATCTCGGCTCACTGCGAGCTCCACCTCCTGGGTTCACGCCATTCTCCTGCCTCAGCCTCCCGAGTAGCTGGGACTACAGGCGCCCGCCACCACGCCCGGCTAAATTTTTTGTATTTTTTTTAGTAGAGACGGGGTTTCACCATTTTAGCCAGGATGGCCTCGATCTCCTGACCTTGTAATCCGCCCACCTCAGCCTCCCAAAGTGTTGGGATTACAGGCGTGAGCCACCGCGCGATTCGTTTCTTACAAAAGGTGTTCAAGTAAGTTTTCCTTTTTCTTTATTCTTAAATGAGACAACGACGACACATTTGATAAATGTCATTCACTATATGAAATAATTTATTTGAGTGAAAGGATTTCAGTTCAGCCATTTAATATAAAAGCTTGTTAATTTGTTAACAAAACTATGTAATTAAAATTTTATACATAAATTGTAGAAATTAATGTATAAGATTTACGTATAAATATTTCTGATTCAAATAAAATTATACTGAGAATATCTGTTTAACTCATTAACTTGATATATTGCTATATTTCCTACAGTTTTATTGCTCACTTCTTAAATACTTAAAATATTCAGCACCAAATATGTCAGTAATATGTGAAGAGGTTTCATTGGAATTCTTCAGATAAGATTTTGACCATTTTATATGTTAGAGAATTCCAAGGTCCTTAGTCGTTTACAAAGAATTTAGTCAACTTCAGAGGAGAATAGTTTGGTCTAGGCTTGGGTGTACTTCACTTATTTATTAAGATTCCCAAAGGATATAAAGAAGGAAATTCAATATTGAATAAACAATGCCCCCCTACCCACCTACCCACATTTAATAAAAGCATGGACTTTCCATTCATATCCCCAGATAATTACAAGGTCAAAAAATTCCTGAATGTTCTTAGCTCTTCCCTCATGGTCTGCTCTTGTCAGTGACTATGTTACCATAGCCGCCATTTGTTTTCCTTTTCTCCATCAAGAGGGTCTGGTCTATCATGAGAATAGTAATCCCACTGTCATTATTCAGCAGAAGGTAGTTTTATCAAATTCAGCAAGTGTTATTCAACAAAAATCTAAATAATATGTTTATATGATGTTATAATTTTGAGAGTGGATGCTTTTCTTTTATGTTCAGGGGTGAGGACCTTGGTGGCTGCCGATATAGTTGATGCTACCTTGCTGTAGGGTCCCTTGGTAAGACAGCAGAATTGGCAGTTTATTTCTTCATGCTCTCTTTGCAGCTGAATCATTTTCGTGAGATGCAGGCATCAAAGAAGATACTGAGCCTTAGTGTGACTTGTTATGCAGTTTGATATTGTAAACCTTATGCTTTCAACAAGGTAAGGTTTTGGCCTTGTTTTATTATTCAGTCCTGTTCTGCAACACAATTGACTATTGTCTTTGTTTTGCATCTTCCTACCAGCTTCAGAGCAGAGATGATTGTCATTGTCACCAAAGTGATAACACCACAGATACAACGTTCTATCTTTTATTGACAAATTCCTGAGCCTTCACAGTATCAAGGGTGAGGAACAGGAACAATTGGTACACTTTGCTTCGTCTTCTGCATGAAAATATGTCACAGGCATTGAGTCAACACCATTTTCACAAGTGAGAAGGTGAAAGGGGTTAGAGTAGTTCATTTTTCACCCTGAACAATGGGGGTTTTCTCACAACCTATGCAACAACATTATGGTAGTTTTAAGTCCTGTTGTCCATTGCTAATTAAAGACTTTTTTTCTGATACTATTTGACTCTTTTTTTTTTTTTTGCAAGCAACTTGTATTCTCTATTATCTTCTATTAGGTCTTTAATTACTTAAGAAAAGTAACTCTTCTCAATACTTAAAGAGTATGTTTTTCAACTATGTAACTTCTCTGTATTTACCTTTCATCATTTCATATTGAACAGAGATTGTGTTTAATCAAGTGTTTTACACTTTTTCTTTCTTTTTTTTTCTTTTCCAGAAACTTCCCACAAGGAAATTGCAAACTAAGCCTTTTTGACCTCCAACTAATTTCGGGACACGTCAGAGGACTCGTGGAATATCAGAAGGTGTCTGAAAATGAAAGATATTAAACTAATTAGGCTTATTTGATACGTTAAATTATATGGGAAGCATTGTAAAATTTAAAAATCGATGTTTAATGTTTGAATTATATTTTATGTATCTGTTAAAATGTGCTCCAAAAATTGTATGGAAATCCTAGAAATCTGATATATCTGCCTTAATGTTGGTTATTATGTTAAAATGTCATAAGCCACAGTAAAATATCAAATTTCCTTGTCATTTGAGTCATTTTATAATGACCTATCGTGAGATCTTTAACCATAGTCATTTTAGGTCCTATTGTCCACAGTTAGTAGGTTTTTCTAATACTATTTGAATATTTTTTTGCAAGCAACTATAATTCTAATGTGTTGCACCTTCAAATAGATCAATAAAAAATATTCTGTAATACAGGTTTCTGATAATTTTAAGATTATACCATTAGACTGATAAGAGTTTACAGAACTCTAGTGAAAAAAAACTAATGGGTTTGTGAAATTCTTCCAAAATTTAATAGAATAATTAATTACATGGGACTCAATACACTGATGAGAATATTTGTGGATTTTTATTTGAAGTTTCACTGTTTTATTATTTTAATGTTTCTTTTTTTCTAGATTTAATGAAACTTTCTTTTGAATCTTAAGCTATCGATAACTTACAACAATTGGGTAAAGTATACTTTTGTAAACAGAATTAAAACATTTAACATCTCTTTTTAGCTGATCTCTGCAGAATTTAGAAAGTATCAGTGAGTATTTATTACAGTTATTTGCATAAGTCCACTAAGAATCTGTTCTCTTTGTAACAGGGCACAATTGCAAACATCGTTTATATTACCAGGGCTTTGATTATAATGTGATATTTTCAGATACAAAGTTTTAAGAACCTAAGGTTGACTTTATGGAGTCAATATTGGCCCCTGAAAAAAATTAACTTGTTAACTTGAATACATAGTAGTTTTCTTACAGTGTTCCTAGCCTTGCCGTGACTAAAGAATATTACTTCCTGAGAGGGTCGGACACCCCAAGATACTTTGGTGAACTCAGGAAGAGAAAAATTCAATCAAATATATAGGTATTACAGTCTGATAGTGAGTCCTCAGCTTCTTAGCTTCAAGAGGCTTTTAAAAGTCTCATCTGAGATCCCTTATCAAAAGTTTCAGCAGAGCAGACTTAAAAAAATATATGATGTAGTCCATTGCTATTATTGCTATACTCTTGCAAACAGACTAAGTTTGATGACACTAAAGTTATTTTGCAATCAAATTAGTGTTACTTTGATATATTCCATAGAAATCATTATGACTATATAAAGAGAAAAATTATGCTTCAGAAAAAAATTAAAATACATCTGTTATTGAATAGCAGTCCTTTCATTATTTTCAAGATTCATTATCTTCTTGTAGACTGGACTGGATCCTGAACTCTTCCACATGCCTCGATCTAATTTTCTCCCACTCTTCTGACTTGGAATTGTTAAGAACAAGAACTGCTCTATTCTTGGAACCCTGTAACCTGGAGATGGACAACTTGATGTAACTTCAGAGGACAACCCTCATGTCTGATACATGAACCACAGGGAGTTTACAAAAATGCCCAATGCCATAACCACAGACTTTCAAACTGTGAACCAAGAAAATATGCTTTGAACTCAAACCTAGAAATCTTATTGATTAACTTCTCCCTGGACTGAAAGACTGAATTCATCATTTATTCTAGTCATTGACCTTTCTTTTCCTTATGTTTCCATAGAAATACTAGTTGCTTTGGTTCATGAGGACTTTGGCTACCTATCATATTCCAGTCTCTTGGTATTATCCTCCAGATAGTCATCATTATAATCTCCTTGATGTGCTGTATTCTCTCAAAGGTCTTAACTGTACGTTCACAGCCATCAAGAATATGCCAGATTGTCTCATTGTAATTAGAGTTATACAGTGGCTCATGCCTGTAAATCCCAGCACCTTGGCAGGGGTGGAGGGGGCGGGGGGGCGGCAAGGCGAGTGGATCACTTGAGGGCAGTAGTTCAAGACCAGCCTGGAAAACACGGAGAAATCTCCTCTATGTTAAAAAATACAAAAAAGGAGGTGTGGGGCAGGGGCATGGTGGCACATGCCTGTAATCCCAGCTACTCAGGGGGCGGAGGCACAAGAATCTCTTGAGCCTGGGAGGCGGACATTGCAGTGAGCCAAGACTGTGCCACTGCACTCCAGCCTGAGCAACAGAGCGAGACTCTGTCTCCAGAAAAAAAAAAAAGAAAGAAAAAAAGAATTGATGAACAACTAAAGAAATCTTTCTTCAAAAGGCGTGACATCATTATTTATGAGTTCCACACTAAAAATATAGACAACTCAACCATAATTATGACAGAGAGTAATGCTTATGCTTAAGTTCTTGGTCAGTGTTTCATAAATGAGAAGCTAACCAAAAGTAGGGAAGGCAGAGTTGTTAAAAAAAAAAAATTGAAGTGGCCAGCTCTTAGACTAGGGTGGCTCTGGCACTTTAAATTATGACATGAACAAACCAAAGCTTAATGTAAACAGTAAATTGAAACTAGAAACTGCACCAATTAGAAACCACCAACAAACCTCTAACTAAGGACTTTCCACTCTAATCAAAATTGTTTTCTTTGTCTTGATTCTGCAAATGCTTTATAAAAGTTTCTCCTTTGGTTTCTTCCAGCAGAGTGCTAGGTCCTTTTAATCTGTTGCTTCCCTGATTTATGAATTGCTGAAAGCTCAAATAAACTCTTTAAAAGTTAAACGTGCTTAATTTTTTAAAAAATCAACTCCAAACATACCTAGACACATCCATTCCATAGGCTGAACACTTGATTTTCAACCTAGATTTCCTCAGAATGGTTTTTTTTTCTGAACTCGATAATCAACAAATTGC
Organism: Homo sapiens; assembly: GCF_000001405.40. Classification (NCBI taxonomy): domain Eukaryota; kingdom Metazoa; phylum Chordata; class Mammalia; order Primates; family Hominidae; genus Homo; species Homo sapiens. The sequence goes on along the minus strand of NC_000003.12, from coordinate 83,189,473 downwards.
TTAGAAAAATGCAAATGATAAAATGAAAAATGATTTAAAAAATAGTACAAAATGCTTAATTGCATAGAGTCTGTCAGAAGAACTTACAGCAGTTCATATTGTTGAGATGCCCCAATATCTCAAATACTACACATTAAAAATGTGTTAATATCATAAAAATCAGATATTTAGCAACCTGAAACTCTAAGAAACATTGAATATTTTTAAATAATGCTTTGTATTTATGTGCTGTCAAAATAGTATTCTAAATGATTGTGTAAGTCGAAAATAGATATCTTTCAGATATGCAGTGTTTCAAAGGTACAATCAGTTAATGAATCAGACTGTTTGTAAAAGAAATGGTAAGCTTAAAACATTCTGTTCCCTTCATGGCTTTCTGATGATGAATTGATTATTTCATTTTTATCTTGGTCTTAGATGATATCCTTTATTTTGTTCTGAAAATGTGTTTGTGTGTGTACATGCACATTTAGATCTTTAAGCTATATTTGGATCTATATTTAAGCTTTAAATTCTAGTCTGTGTTTAAATGAACAATAAAAGGCTTGAAAATAGATGAATAGAATGATTATTACACAAAAAATACCGAATTTTAAAAAGGCTTAAATAATGTATGTCATTAAATTATGTTGAATTATTCTTAACATATATAATTTATATACTCTATAATTATATAAATACTAATATATAATTATATTACATGTAATTAACATATATAACTATATAATATGAAATTACATATATAATTTAATTAATTTTAAATTATGTCATTGGGTCCTTTCTTCTGGCAGTACGTTAGTCCCTTGTCACTTCCTGCTACTGAGTGTGCTGATTTACTTTAGAAGGAATTGCAATTCAAACACCTTCAGAAGCTAGTAAGGTGTTCAGTCTCTAGATTAGCAGCATTAGTAGCACCTGAGAACATTGCAGAACATCAAATATCTGACTGCCCACCCTGAAGTCTGCCCTCATCCATGTGCATCTCCACCTACTTAATGATGAGTTAATCAAGGTGTGCGACCCAGTAATTTGTGTTCTAACAAGTATTTCAGGTGCTACTAATGCATGTTCAAGTTTGAGAACCACAACTGTGACATTCCTTCCGTAGTAAGCTGTGGTGAATACCATGGCAAAGTAGAGAATGTAAATCCTATCTTAAACTATTTTTCAGGTATTTTGTTTCTTTTTTAAAATTTGTTTTAAACACTTGTCCAAGAAAATAAAATCCAAAACAAAAAAACAACAACAATAAACTTATATGTAGGATGACTTCTAACTGTTCTGCCTCCTGGCTGCCAGTTTTCAAAATTTACTTACATATATTTTATACTATTCCTTTTTCCACTTAGAGACTCATTCTATTACGACAATGATGCCACTTTTCCTTCTTTCTCAGTTTTAATTTTATACATCATTTGAACCATGTGGTTCAGGTCTTAACTTCATGAATTAGTATTTTTTTAGAAAGTATTATGTAATTTGACCTAAAATACTTATTTTAAAATGAGAAACTTGCTTTTTATATTTTGAACATCTCCTAGGTTTGGGCTAGTTTATCAAATAATAATGTAATAATACACTTTTAAATAATCAAATTCATTAGAAAAACAGTAATAATTCAGTGGTTGATAGGTTATTTTTTTTTTAATTTTTGACCCTAGCAAAGGAATGAAAAAGGCAACTGCAACTCTGACTTTGTAAAACAGCTAAGAGTCTTCTGATGGTTCTGATGTATTTATTCCATGTTTCCATTTTTCTTCTGGTTAGTAAATGAAATTTTATATGCTGAATTTTGACATGACTTAACTTCTATAATGAAAGCAGTTATTTTCACTCCATAGAAAACAGAAACCATAGGTTTTGGTTAAGTATTTGCAAGTATTCAGAATTTTAAAATTTGTATTTAGTGGAAAAGAGCATTCTCCAGGAAGAACACTTAACTCTTGGTAATTAGAACAATGGCATGCACGGGTAATAAATTACTCATGGGAAGATTTGAACAAGGATACCTGAGCAAAACCTGTAAATCTTCTAAACATTTTTGTCCCCACAGAATGCAATAAAATGTCATTTATAATAAATAAACCATATAATATAAACTCAACATGAAGAATATTACCAAGTCAACTGAAAGCCCTGGCATATGGTAAGTTTCCTGCATGTGAAATGTCAGTGATGATTTTTAGGATTAACATTGTTATACCACTTCATGAATTAATTTATTGAAATATGTTCTTTAATGACAATATTTTTGAATGATAAGAATAATTAAGGACTAAGACTGCCATGACCCATTTGACACTGTATAAAAGTTAAACATCCTGAAAGTATAGTTATATCATGGGATTTTAACTTCTAAACTTTCACAATATTATGTAAAAACTTTTTTTTTCTAGACTATGCTGCTTTTTTAATAAGAACATGAGAAATTTTTCAGATGTTGGATAAAGGATCTTGACAGAAAATTACATTCCAAAAGTTGTTATAACTAGTAAGAGCTTATTTTAAATAATAATCTTTTGAAGAGTTTGAACCAAAAACAAACTACTTAATTTTTTTTTTTAATGTTATGGATCAGGTGCAGTGGCTCACACCTGTAAATCCCATTTGAGAGGCCAAGGTAAGAGGATCCCTTCAGTCTAGGAGTTAGAGACCAGCCTGGGTAACATAGTGAGACCACGTTTCTATAGAAAATAAAATAAGTAAATAAAATAAACTGGGCATGGTGGTGCACAATTGTAGTCCCAGCTACTCTGGAGACTGAGGTGGGAGGATTGCTTGAGCCTAAGAAGTTGAAGCTACAGTGAGCTATGATTGAACCACTGTACTCCAGCCTGAGCAACAAAGTGAGACCCTGTCTCAAAAAAAAAAAAAAAAAAGAAGAAAATACATTCTTTATTTTCTTTTTTAAAACATTTAAAAAATGTACTTTAAATTTCATATGGAACCAAAAAAGAGCCTGTATAGCCAATACAATCCTAAGCAAAAAGAACAAAGCTGGAGACATCACTTTACCTGATTTCAAACTATACTACAAGGCTACAGTAACCAAAACAGCATGGTACTGGTACCAAAATAGATATACAGACCAATGGGACAGAACAGAGGCCTCAGAAATAACGCCACACATCTACAACCATCTGATCTTTGAGAAACCTGACAAGAGAAAAAGCAATGGGGAAATGATTCCCTAGTTAATAAATGGTGTTGGGAATACTGGCTAGCCATATGCAGAAAACTGAAACTGGACCCCAACCTTACACGTTATACAAAAATCAACTCAAGATGGATTAAAGACTTAAACATAAGACCTAAAACTGTAAAAACTCTAGAAGAAAATCTAGGCAATACCATTCAGGACATAGGCTTGGGCAAAATACTTTATGACTAAAACACCAAAAGCAATGGCAACAAAAGCCCAAATTGACAAATAGGATTTAATTAAACTAAAGAGCTTCTGCAAAGCAAAAGAAACTATCAGCAGAGTGAACAGGCAACCTACAGAATGGGAGAAAATTTTTGCAATCTATCCATCTGACAAAGGGCTAATATCAAGAACCTACAAAGAACTTAAACAAATTTACAAGAAAAAAACAACCCCATCCAAAAGTGGGCAAAGGACATGAACAGACACTTTTCAAAAGAAGACATTTATGTGGCCAAAAAACGTATGAAAAAAAGCTCATCATCACTGGTCATTAGAGAAATGCACATCAAAACCACAATGAGATACCATCTCATGCCTGTTGGAATGGCGATCATTAAAAAGTCAGGAAAGAACAGATGCTGGAGAAGATGTGGAGAAATAGGAATGCTTTTTCACTGTTGATGGGAGTGTAAATTATTTCAACCATTGTGGAAGACAGTGTGGTAATTCCTCAAGGATCTAGAACCAGAAGTACCATTTGATCCAGCAATCCCATTACTGGGTATATAACCAAAAGATTATAAATCATTCTACTATAGAGACACATGCACACGTATGTTTATTGCATCACTGTTCACAATAGGAAAGACTTGAAACCAACCCAAATGTCCATCAATGATAGAGTGGATAAAGAAAATGTGGCACATATACACCATGGAGTACTATGCAACCATAAAAAAGGATGAATTCATGTCCTTTTCAGAAACATGGATGAAGCTGGAAACCATCATTCTCAGCAAATTAACACAGGAACAGAAAACCTAACACCGCTTGTTCGCACTCATGGTGGGAGATGAACAGTGAAAACACATGGACACAGGGAGGGGAACATCACACACCAGGGCCTCTCAGGCTGTGGGGGACTAGGGAATGGATGGCGTTAGGAGAAATATCTAACGTAGATGACAGGTTGATGGGTGCAAGAAACAACCATGGCACGTGTATACCTATGTAACAAACCTGCACATTCTGCAAGTTTCCCAGAAGTTAAAGTATAATAAAAAGAAAAAAAAAAAAGAAAGAAAAAATGTAGCCAAATCTGTAGGCAGGTGTGTGTGTGTGTGTGTGTGTGTGTGTGTGTGTGAACAAAGGACATATGAAAGTCCTGTAAATCATTTGCATATTTTCTGCTTTTATACTGGAGTTTTTGTCTTTATTTTTTTAAACCGATTCATACAAGTTTTTTTTGGAAATTCTATGTATTCATCCATTTTCACGCTGCTGATAAAGCCATAACTGAGACTGGGCTGCTTACAAAAGGAAGAGGTTTAATGGACTTACAGTTCCATATGGCTGGAGAGGCTTCACAATCATGGTGGAAGGCAAGGGGGAACAAGTCACATCTTACATGGATGGCAGCAGGCAAAGAGAGAGTTTGTGCAGAGAAACTCCCGTTTTTAAAACCATCAGCTCTTGTGAGACCCATTCACTATCACAAGAACAGCATGGGAAAGACCCGCCCCCATGACTCAATCATCTCCCATCGGCTCCCTGTCATAACATATGGGAATTATAGGAGCTACAAGATGAGATTTGGGTGGGGATACAGAGTCAAACCATATCATTCCAACTCTGTTCCCTCCCAAATCTCATGTCTTCACATTTCAAAACCAATCACGCCTTCCCAAACAGTTCCCCAAAGTCTGAACTCATTTCACCATTAACTCAAAAGTCCACTCTTGAAAGTCTCATCAGAGATGAGGCAAGTCCCTTTCACTTTTGAGTCTGTAAAATCAAAAGCAAGTTAGTTATTTCCTAGATACAATGGGCTTATGGGCATTGGGTAAATACAGCCAATCAATATGGGAGAAATTGACCAAAACAAAGGGGGCTATAGGCCCCATGCAAGTGCAAAATCCAGAGAGGCAATCAAATCTTAAAGCTCCAAAATGATATTGTTTGACTCCATGTCTCACATCCAGGTCATGCTGATGCAAGAGGTGGGCTCCCATGGTCTTGGGCAGTTCCACTGCTGCCACTTTGCAGGGTACATTTTTTTTTGTTTTTCAGTTGCCTTCACGAGCTGGCATTGAGTGTCTGTGGCTTTTCCAGGTGCATGGTGCAAGCAGTTTGTGGATCTACCATTCTGGAGTCTGGAGGACAGCGGCCCTCTTCTCACAGCTCCACTAGGCAGTGTCCCAGTAGGGACTCTGTGTGGGGTCTCCCACCCCACATTTCCCTTCTGCACTGTCCTAGCTGAGGTTCTCCATGAGGACCCCCACCCCTCAGCACATATCTGCCTGGGCATCCAAGTGTTTCCATACATCCTCTGAAATCTAGACAGAGGTTCCCAAACCTCAATTCTTGACTTTTGTGCAACTAGGGACGCAACATAATGTGGAACCTGCCAAGGCTTGAAGCTTGCACCTTCTGAAGCCAAAGCTTGAGCTCTGTGTTGTCTCCTTTTAGCCACAGCTGGAACAGCTGGGATGCAGGGCACCAAGTTCCTAGGCTGCACAGGGCATGGGGACCCTGGGCCTGGCCCAGGAAACCACTTTTTTCTCCTAGGCCTCCAGGCATGTGATGGGAGGGGCTGCTGCAAAGGTTTCTGACATGCCCTGGAGACATTTTCCCTGTTGTCTGGGTGATTAACATCCGACTCTTTTGCAAATTTCTGCAGCAGGCTTGAATTTTTTCTCAGACAATGGGATTTTCTTTTCTATTGGATTGTCAGGCAAGAAGTTTTCCAAATTTTATGCCCTGTTTCCCTTTTAAAACCGAACGCCTTTAAAAGCACCTAAGTCACCTCTTGAATGCTTTGCTGCTTAGAAATTTCACCTATGAACAATATGATGAATGTTATTTTCGTTATATAGTCCATCATCGATGGGCATCTAAGTTGATTCTATGTCTTTGCTATTGGGAATAGTGCTGCAATGAGCATACACATCCATGTGGTTTTATGGTAGAACCATTTACATTCCTTTGAGTATATACTCAGTAATGGGATTGCAGAGTCAAATGATAGTACTCTTTTAAGTTGTATTTTAAGTTTCTCGAGAAATCAGATCAAAGTGGCTGAACTAATTTATATTCCTACCAGTATTGTATAAGTTTTCTCTTTTCTCTGCACCCTCACCAGCAGGTTATTTTTTGTCTCTTTTATAATAGCCATTCCGACTTCTGTGAGATGATATCTCATGATGGTTTTAATTTACATGTCCCTAATGATTAGTGATATTGAATATTTTTATATGCTTATTGGCTATGTGTTTTTCTGCTTTTAGATTCTGGATATTAGACCTTTGTCAGATACATAGTTGCAAACATTTTTTCCCATTATGTAGGTTGTCTGTTTACTCCATTGATAGTTTCTTTTTCTGTGTGGAAGCTCTTTCATTAGGTCCCACTTGTCAATTTTTGTTTTTGTTGCAATTGCTTTTGGAATCCTTGTCATGAAGCCTTTGCCTGGGCTAGTGGCTAGAATCATATTTCCTAAATTTTCTTCTAGGGTTTTTGTAATTTTAGGTTTTATATTAAGTCTTTAATCCATCCTGAATTGATGTTTGTATATGGTGAAATACTTTCTCTTCAAGTGTTCAAAGAGGCACCTGAATGAGAACAGAGTTTAGAGAATCACTGGCTTTGAGAGAAGTTGATAGGAGGGGCCTAAACTATTTATTGTTAATTTACTATTAATATATAATTTGAGCAGTGTGATCCAAACACACATTTTGGAAATAGCCTGTACATAAAAGTATTCTGAGTTGGAGTCTATAGCAGATTTTTAAAACTACCCTATGGTAACCACTGGAATTTTGGACTTAAAATTTACCTAACACAGTGGCTATCATATAATCTTTTATAGTGCAAATCACTGAAACATTGCTAGCATTTTGTGGAAATAGCACTTAAATAATTTTAAACTCGAAATACCTATATACCCTGGTAAGAATAGAGAGAAGTTCCAATAAGGATTGTGTACCTCAGTAGAGTGCACACACACACACACACACACACACACAAAGATACCTCAAATGTAGAAGCAGGTCTGATGATGGGCTTTGCAGAAACAATTCCATGAAAAAGTTCTGGTTCTACCATTTGGGCTGATGATAGGACTTCTGAAGAATTGAATGCTCCTCATGCTGAATGGACAGCAAGGTACCTCACTTACTACAAAAAAAAAAAAAAAATCTGCATATGGAGGCAATCCAGTTTGGAATTCTACTCCTGTATTCACATGGATAGTAAAAACTTAGTTGAATAAGGCAAGGGTAAATCTCCATAATGAGAATAACTAAAAGCAGTATATCTAATAGTACAATCATTGGGTTCTTGTTCCAAGAGTTTTGATTGAATATTTATAGTCTCATGAGTTTGGCAAATGACTTTTCAACAGGGAAAAGGTAATTGTACCTAATTAATTAGACAATCAAGAACACTACAATAAGAATAGTGAATTATGGGAATCTCAGTGGGAATTCTGAGGTGAAGTTATTGTGGCACTATATAATCACTCACTAATGCATAATGGAGGGAAACTGTTTACTTTAAAGAAGACTAGAAATTAAGGACTGACATCCTCTTTTCTTATATGTATGTAAAACAAGACAATACTGAAATGCTTGAATTAGTCAATATTGGCAAAAATGGCAAAATGTTAATCTGTTTCCTGCTGATCCTATTAGTTTGATAAGATGCATAGAAAGCAAACAGGAAAAGTTGGCATTGAATAAGAATTCCTGAGATCAAAGGCCTGAGTCAACAAAAGAACGTTAATCATCATCTTTGAGATTCGAAATGGACATGAGTGGTAAGATGAATATTCACCTTGAAAAGTGTGTTAACTTACTTCAATTACAAATTGATTGGCAGTTTATTCCTCTAATGAACCAGAGTATGCATTTGATAATGGCAATGACATAAATTGGCTAAAACGCGTACCATATTTTGAACGTATGTTATCCTTTATAACTTAAAAGTTGTCGGTTGAGTCAGGTTCATAACAAAAAATTATAAAATAAAACATTTGGTAATTTAAATGGGGAAAGGAAGTGAAAAGAACATTATTGACTGTCTTGCTTAATGTATACTTGTACTTATATCTATACATGTATGCCATCTGAGTATGAATGATTGTAAAGTGAGAACACTTTGGAAAAGGTGTCTGAATTGAGTGTTGGAAATCATGCCATCACACATAATGGTGTTTTCTAACACATATAATATATCCTTTACTTTATCAGAAAGTCATGTCAAGGTAAAGATTATAGTTCCATATCTGGGCAGAGGAAGACATCCCTGCTTAGTACACAATTTTACTTCCTCTGAATTTGCTGGGGAAGATTTCCAGAATTAATAGACTTGATCAGAAATTTATTTCATGTGTTTAAAATAGGACTGATTATAATAGCTACCCCACTGACTAACTATATAAATATTATCATTGTTCTTTCCTCTTTTAACCTGACTTCTTCCAGAAAATGATAAAAATGAAGGTCCTGGCAAGTCTATTTGTGCTCTTCCCTAAGAGCAGGTAATGTGAGTGAAACAAAAAGTCCAACCTGAAGAGGTCAAAGTCCAGAATATAGTACCTGACATATGGAGAAAGAAAAGACAAATTTGGGAAAGAAAGTGAGTGCATAAATAAGCAATAATAAAAGTAAATAGCTTCATTATGCTTTTTCTGAGAGAATATCTCAAAGCAAGAAAATAACCTGCTCAGCTATTTCTGTCATGATCAATGGTGAAAGAAACTGTATATGTATTACTGTTGTTCTTTGTTTTGCCCTTGAGAAGAGTAAAAAACTTATTGGATGGACGCAGTAACAGATAGAGATGACAGAAGATAGCACGAGTGAGCTTCATGACGAATCAATAAAATTTACTCAATTCGAACAACAGAGATAAAATGGAATAAAAAAGCAATGAATGATTCTCATGGATCTGTGAGGCAATAACAACATATATAACATTTGTATTATGGGATATCTAGAAAGACAGAAGGAAGAGTGCATGGAAATGAGGAGTTTTCTGAAAAAACAATGTTTGAAAAATTATATAAATATGGCCAAAAAGTAAAATCTAGAGATTTGAGAAGCTGAGTAAATCTCAAATAGGATAAACTCAAAAAATTTCACACCAAGGGAATTTATAATTAAACTTTGAAAATCCAAAGACAAATAAAAAATTCTTAAAAGCAGCCAAGAAATCTTTATAAGCAGCATTGATGATAAACACTAATAAGGATAACAGCAGATTTATATGTGAAACCATGGAGACCAGAAGAAAGTGGCACAGCATATTTCAATTGATGAAGGAAAAACAAACAATTAAACCCAAAACTATTCCTCAAAAATCTAAGGCAGAATAGACTTAGTCTCAGTCAAAAGACCGCTCAAATCCTTTTTTTTTTTTTTTTTTTGGCTAGCAGATGAAACTGTGAGTAATTCCTAAAAGAAGTTTTCACAACAGAAAGAAAATAATGACAGAATAAGTCCAGGATCTTCAGATTGGAATGTACATCAATAGTATGGTTGAAAATACAGTTAACATAATGTAGTGTATTTTACCTTATGAGATTATTTAGTTATATTTTATAGTAGAAGCAAAAGTTACAACACTATCAGATGTGGTGCTCAATGTATACAGAGGACATATTTTGTCTTGTCTATCAATCAAGCTGTCTTGTCTATCAGTCAAGACCGAAATTGGCAAGGAAGATTAAAATATACACACACAATAAACTATATTTTGTATACAAGAAATTTACTTCAAACATAGCAACATATGCTGCTTGGAAATCAAAGGATGGAAATGTTATGCAATGCAAATGCAATTTAAAAAGAACAAGAGCAGCTATATTAATGTCAGATAAAAAAGATGTTGTACCAAAATTACTAACGATCAAGAGGGACATTATATGATAATAAAAAGATCAATATACCAAGAATATATAGCAATACCCAATATGTATGCATCAAATAACAGAACTACAATATACATGAAACAAAAACTGATATACTTAATGTAAGATAATACCACATTAATTGTTGAGGACTTCAACAGCCCACTCTAAGCAATGGAGAGCAGTATTAGATAGAAAGTCGATAGGGACATAGAAGTGAATATTTCCAGACAATAGGAGCTAATTGACATTATACAATACTTTATCCTTAAATAAAAAAAAACACATTCTCTTCAAGTGTCCATGGAATATTGAGGAAGACAGACCAAATCCTGGGTCATAAAACAAATTTTAACATACTTAAAAAATTAAAATCATATAGAATATGTTCACCGACAGTAACACAGTGAAACTAGATATTAATAATACGTAAGTGCAAAAGATAAATATTCAAAATTTAAGTTAAATATTGATACGGTTCGGCTGTGTCCTCACTAAAATCTCAATTTGAGTTGTGTCTCCCAGAATCCCCACGTGTTGTGGGACGGACGCAGCGGAGAGGCAATTGAATCATGGGGGCTGGTCTTTCCTGTGCTATTCTCATAATAGTGAGTAAGTCTCACGAGATCTGATCGGTTTATAAGGGGTTTCCACTTCTGCCTCATTTTCTCATGATGCTGCCATGTAAGAAGAGCATTTTGCCTCCCGCCATGATTCTGAGGCCTCCCCAACCATGTGGAACTGTAAGTTCAATTAAGCCTTTTTTTGTTCCCATTTTCGGGTATGTATTTGTCAGCAGCGTGAAAACAAACTAATACAAATATATTCATAAACAATCCATGAGCCAAAATGAATTATAAAAGAAAATTTAAAATACACATAACTTAATAAAAATTTAAGAAACACATAGCAAAATTCGTGGGATGATGAGAAAGCAGTGTCAAGAGGAAAACTGAGAGCATTAAATGCATACATTAGAAAAGAGGAGAGGATATGTCTCAAATCGATAATCTAAGCTCACCTGCCACGAACCTAAAAAATTAAAAAACAAAACAAACCTAAAGCAATCAGAAAGAAAGTTATGAACAGAAATAAATAGAATTGAAAGAGAAAAATGATACAGCATTAATGAAATGTGAAGCTGGCTTTTAAAAATATTATAATTGATAAACTAGTGAGACTGATAAAGCTGAAAGAAGACGAAATCACCGGTATCAGGAGAAACACTTTATTACAACAGATTCTGTGGTTATTAAAATGATGTAAGGCCGGGCATGATGGCTCATGCCTGTAATTTCACCATTTTGGGGCACCAAGGTGGGAGTCCAGCAGTTCAGGACCAGTCTGGGCAATATAGTGAGACTTCCATTTCTACATTTTATGTGTTTTTTTTTTTTTTTTTTTTGAGACGGAGTCTCCCTCTGTCGCCAGCTGGAGTACAGTGGCGCTATCTGGGCTCACTGCAAGCTCCGCCTCCCGGGTTCACGCCATTCTCCTGCCTCAGCCTCTGGAGTAGCTGGGACTACAGGCGCCCGCCACCACGCCCAGCTAATTTTTTGCATTTTTAGTAGAGACGGGTTTCACCATGTTAGCCAGGATGGTCTCGATCTCCTGACCTCGTGATTCGCCCACCTCGGTCTCTCAAAGAGCTGGGATTACAGGAGTGAGTCACCGCGCTCGGCCCATTTCTACACTTTTTAAAAAATTAGTTGTGCATGGTGGTACATAACTGCAGTCTCAGCTACTAGGAAGGCTAAGGTGGGAGGATTGCTTGAGTCTAGGAGTTCAAAGCTGCAGTGAGCTATGAATCCATCACTGCACTCCAGTATGTATGACAGAGTGAGATCCCTCTCCCGAAAGAAACAAAGAAAAAATTAAAAACATATATAAGGAAATGATACGAAAATTTTTATCCTCCTAAATTTGTCAACTTAGAAGATATACACCAATTTCTCAAAACCCTCAAACTACCACAACCCTGGCAAAATGAAGTACATAAATTCTCCTCCGTTAAAGACATTGAAATCATAACTTTAAATTTCTCCCAAAAAAGAAGCGTCCTGCAAATTTAGTAGTTGAGATGATAAGTTATATACTCTAGTAAAATATACTTTATTGTTTTCTCACTGAGATTTAAGCTCTGAAAGTACTGGTTAATTGAATATTTTCTGCTTTTTCCTAGCTTTCTAGTGTCTTTTGCAGAGGTGCTGTATGTTAGGCATACGCTGTAAGTTGTAAATGAATTTGCTAGTAAGCGTCTCTCTGAATGTAGTAGTGAAAACTAAAACTTTGTTGTTAGCCACACAAAATATCTTACATCATTGATTCTTGCTGTTACTTGTGGATAAAAATGGTTTCACAGGATAATTTTACCACACATTCAAAGAAAATTTTGCAGCAATTTAATACATTTTTTCCTAGATAAGAGAGTAGGAGGAGACACTTCTCAACTAATTTTTTGAGGCCATTATTACATTACAGTCCTGCTCTTATAAAACCAGAGTACCAAAAAAAAAAAAAAAAAGAGGAAAACCATGTACTAATGTCTCTCATGAAATTACTCAAAAAACTTCAAAATTGAATTCAACAAAGCATAAATGCAAATAATACACCATAACTAAGGGAGACATATTCTGGATATGAATGGCTGGATCAGTATTTTTTTAAAAAATCAGTCAACATAATTCACTATAGAAATAGATGAAAGAAGAAAAATCATATAATCTTACCAATTGGCACAAAAATAAGCATTTGGCAAAATTCAACATGCTGATAAGTCTCAGTACACTAGAAATACAGCGAAACTTCCTTAACTTCATGAAAAACCTTTTCAGAAAAACCTACAATTATTACCATACTTAGTAGTAAAAAATAAATGCTTTTCTCTAAGGTCAAAAACAGGAAAAGGACATCTGCTTTCATCATTCAAGGTCAACGTAGTATGTAATATAGAGTCTAGCCATTTCAATAAAGCAAGAAAAATATGTATACAAATTGAAAACAAATAAATAGAACCATCTCTGCAGATGGCATAATTACACATATAGAAATTCCCAAGCCTTATACGAAAAAACTACTGGAAGTAATAATTATTTCAGTAAGGCTGCACAGAAGAATTATTTGCATCTTCACATACTTACAAGCATCTAGAAGCTAGTACCAAAATATAACAATTGCCATTACTCCCAACAAAATGAGATATTAAGGTACATGTCTAACAAAACATGTAAAGGAGATTAATGATAAAAATTACAAAATGCTGATGAAAGAAATTAAATAATACCCATACACATATACAGACGGGTTGTGTTTATTTTATTATGACGGTTACTATCTAGAACTCAGGATGTGAAATAAACCCCTATCAAACAAGGTATCTGCAATATAATAAACAAATTATACCTCCAAAAAGCATCAAATAATTGAGCATTAGATATTCTAATATAATTCAAAACATTTTCTCCTCATAGTTTGATGAAAATGCTAAATATTTTTTTTTGTATGGGAGATACAAAAATCTTCTCTCATAGTGTTTTTTTTTCATGATTTAAAGCATTTCATGTAACATAAATTATGTAATCAGATGATGATTACATAAATCACATGTTAAGGAGTGATTGCAAAACTTAAATGTACATCTGGAATTAGAAACAGAAGTCTTAAGTTATAATTTAAATTTAAAAACCGCCTCTGCAATATAAGGCAAAAATTCATACATATGTCAAAAGTTCTCCCCAGTTAGTTCTCCATATATTGATTCTTCGTTTATTCTCTTTCCTCTTAGCTATTTTACTTCTGGTGCCTTCCAAAAAGTTCCTTTAGAAAGGTTTAAGAAAAAGTTATATCAATATACAGGTATATACCTTTGTTCAGTGATTTCTTTTTAAAATAGTTCTCATTTCAATATAAGATCTTGATATCTAAATCTGTTATTTGGTCAAAAAATATCAAGCATTTTTTATAATATTGCCTTATTATTAAATTATTGTGCTTTCAAGAAACCAACATTTAGTCATTGCCTCCTTAGCGTAATGATTTCAAATTCTGTATTTTTTCAAAGATGCTATATGTCATTTTTAATATTTGTCAATAAATTAGGATTTATGACAATATATTTGACAATTAAAATTTTGTCTTTTTCACATATACTTTAAACTTTATTTTATCTGAAATAAAATTGATTATATTGAAAACGTGCAAATTCAGTAGATGAGATGCTAAGTTATATCCTCCAGTAAAATATTCTTTATTGTTTTCTCAAGGGGATTTAAGCTATGAAAGTACTGGTTAATTGAATATCTTCTGCTTTTCCCCAACTTTCCAGTGTCTTTTGCAGAGCTGCTGTATTTTAGGCATACAGTATACATTTTTAAATGAATTTGCTATTTAGTGTCTCTCTGAATTTAGTAGTGAAAAAGAAAACTTTGTTATTAGCCACACAAAATATTTTACATCACTGATTCTTACTGTTACTCGTGGATTAAAAAAAAAAAAACCTCATGGACCTCTGTATTGAATGACAGTTATGTCGGGGTATTTTAAAAGTCCTACTTTGCCAGTAGTTTAAATGCAACTTGTCAGAACAATGGAATACTTCTTTATTTATATGTGTGACTCTTTTTATTAGCACAATTGGAATTCAATTGTATCAAATAATTGTGTGCATTAATTTAATATTATAAGATAACATTAATAAGTTAATTGATAGCAATGGACTAAATTTCAGACTATGTATTTGTCTTTTTCCCTTACATTTTTAAATATTATTGAGGGACTTCATAAATTATTAAATCTCTTTGATTGATTAACAATTTATACCTAGCCTAAAAATAACCTAAAACATCAAGAGTTATAACATCATCCATATGAAACATAGTATAAAACTCAAAGAAATATATATCATCCAACCTATTTTAAAATAAAATATATCAATAAAATAAATATAGATTGAAACGTTTTGTTTTTCCTTGGTGAGAAAAAGTGAATAAAAATGAATGAGATGGAAAAAGGTATATAGAATTGTACATTTTGCTTGTGTCATGATAAAAAAATCAATAACACTTTTTCTTTAGAACAATTTTATGTTTTCTGTAGTTCTGCTTATGTTTTCATAGTTCTGATGAAATTGATTTTTCTCAATCACTGTCAGGGTTGCTCTGTGTGTTTCACTAACAACAACAGCTTTTTTCATAGGGCAAATCTTATGAAATATTCCCAGGTGAGAATAGATGTGAAATGTACTATAGATATATCAATGAAGACATTCCTACTTAAAATGATACTGAGTAAGTAAAAATGAATGCGAATACAGATAAATTTGATACCATAACTCACCATTAACTCCAAAATGTTAATTTTCTATGGGTATGTGTATACACATACACACACATAGTGGCATATAGTAATGTGAATAATAAAAGTTGAAAAAAATTAAAATGTATTTTAAAACATATATGATTTAGAGACATTTCATTTTCTTACTTAAGTCTTTGTCACTTTCCCAATATTTTTGGTGTTCTCTTTCTTTGGACACTGTTAGGCAACGGCCATGTTACTTATTTCAGCCAAATAACTGAGAGCACATACCATGATAACATATGGAAAAAAAAGTTTAAGAAACAGCATGCAATTTTATTAATTCCTTTTGTACTTCAGCATTCATGGAAACATATTTAGATAAATCTAGTCCTTGAGTGACTATTATAGTAACATAGCCGCAGCACTCTCTCATGAAGTAAAGAATGAATAAGAAAATGGTACTGTGTTTAGCCACTGAGGTGTTGAAATTGCCTAATGCCACTGCATAGGTTAGAGTATCCTCTTAAAGAATACCTAACACAAAGTGGGTTTCATGTAGAATAAATATTGCTTACCCAGTTTTTTTTCTCAATCATATTAGATATTCTATTCTTGCATAGGCATTATGGCAGGAGTTACAAGCATAAGGTATATAACTTAATATTTACGTGTGTGATAACTGATTGGATCATTATTCTTTTTGTGTCTGTAGCCTGGACATCACATAAATATGAACATGCACAATTGTGGGGACTCTGTTGCTCTGCTCTGTGTATGTTGTATGGTGGAGA
Source organism: Homo sapiens (assembly GCF_000001405.40). Taxonomy (NCBI): domain Eukaryota; kingdom Metazoa; phylum Chordata; class Mammalia; order Primates; family Hominidae; genus Homo; species Homo sapiens. Next base: position 83,173,107 of record NC_000003.12, on the reverse strand, counting down.
AGTAAAATTTGCTGTGTCAAGCTGCTGAAATTTAAGATTTTATTTTATTGCAGCATTTCTTAGCGTTTCCTAAGCTTCAGTCTTAATATGTATTTCTACTTAGCAGCTTGCTATATATTTACTGTGCTAAATTAGTCTTTTGAAAGCATTTAGGATTCTTGGAATTTGGGATTTGAATTATATTTTCATATTAGATGTTGTTTTGCCTGAATTCTCCACTATGTAAATAAATGTGTACATTTATTTTTAACTTCCTTGAATACATTTATAATTTCATACATATATAATGTACAAATACGTGCATACACACATGTGGAGCAAAATACTATAATGGTTAAATATGTATTGGAGATTAATAGATAATACAAATAGTTGAATTTTATTTTTTAAATATTGTTGAAATTTATTTGGAATTTTTGATTATTTTTGCACATTGAAAATAAATTATAAGTGCCCATGCCAAATATAGTAACATATATGATACATATTTGCCCTTGTTTATTGTTTCTAATATAAAGAACAGTGTTGAAATACTTTAGCTCTAGCCATAGACAGCATCCTGAAAAGATGTATAGTCAGTAATGATCAATCTCACAGATATTTAAAGAAAATATAATAGAATTACTGCTCAGAGGGCACACAGCAATAACAGGATGCAGCAGATTGCACCTAATAGACAACAATGGATTATTAAAATCCTCAAACTATAATACATAAAGTAAGTTATGGGAATACTCCCTAGCTTTTCATACTGTGGGGTTACTTAGCAACCAAAAAAAAAAAAAAAGAAAAAAGAAAACTACTCTATAAAGTCTGTGCATTAGTTTTAAAATAAATACCTAAAACCAATATCAACTTTAATTTTTTTCATTTCATAAAAATGAGTATTTGATGCATTACATTTTTCAGAAATTTTAATACATATAGGATTATAAACTAAAACATTCAAAATAATGCAGCATTAATATACAAAAATTATTGATGTTCCCTTAACTTAGAATACAGTAATTAGAAAACACTGAGTGGCTTCAGATAACTTGCTCTGTAAGTCATCGTGGTCAACTCAGTACTGATAAGCAGATGGTAAAACTGGTTATCTTCTAATCGTTTTTAATTAGGCTGAAACTCAAACATTTCAAACAACAATAATATTTATGTATATTTGACAGTCTCACTCATGTTAAGATATTATTGTATTAATAATCACTGGTGTCAATAGATGCAAATATGCCCTCCAAACCAAATGTTCCACTAACAGCCTTAGCCAAATGATTTAAAAACAATAATAACAATGAAGGAAAATGAAAAGAACAATCAGCAAACAAATAAAAACATGGCCACTCACATTGACTCCCACTGCCAGCTAAAGTACACTTTGGCTTGCATTACAATATGACCAAGAATATTTGAGTCCAAACTGCAATTAATAGATGAAACTCCTAAATTCTTTATTTTATATGAATTGACTATTCTTAAACTTCTTTGTAAGATTTTTGCTTCCTTTAATATATAATACATCTTATTTCTTAATCTTAACATATTATTTTCCTTCACAGTAGAACCATAGGTGAGTCTTGAATTAATAAATTAAATACAGAATATGATTGGTTTTATTTTAAGAATAAAACTGCTAAGTCTATTGCTATTTGGAGGAATGTCTCTGATACATATGATACTTTCAACAGCTTAGCTTAAAAAATAACCTATTTATTTATTGCTTTATTTTAAGATTAACTGTTGCAACTATTTCCCAGCAGCCCACAAATTTACTGTATTGTGTGGAATTGTACTTTTCTATATGCTTAAATTTATACTTCTTTCCAAGCTGCTTTTATTTTACTTCTTCAGCTCACCATACAATAAATGTTTGAGAAGCCTGTTGTTTTTCATTTATCCAATGACATCCAGCTCAATGGAGTTTTATTCCTCATGCATGGATTTCATTTCTTGTTGTTACAAAATTTAACTTACTCATAAATGAGACTGATTAATCTGTTTGAAAAATCTTGCCGACCTCAAGCCCAAGTGTAATATTGATGACTATAGGTTTTCAACTTCTCCAGGTTTGTGAAGAAACATTTATTCTTATATGTAAATAGAAGTGGCTCAAATTTCAATCTAAGTTAGTAGGTCCATGTAGACCTTCTCTAAAGCAAATACATTTATCTTACTTTTCAGTCAATCTATTACCCGAGTGCCTTTTCATTGCTGCCTGATTCTAGCTTTTATTTCCCCTTTTCAGTTGTTATTTATCCAAATAATTCAAGGCAGAGTGTGGAGATACTTTTCCTCATTAGTTTCCTAAAAAAACATTGATCGAATGCATATGTATGTTGCAAAATTTTACTAAAATTCTGAGTAACAAACGGGATGTTATGCAAAGTTCCACAAATAAGAAAGCTAAATAACATATGTAATTAATCTTAACATCGCTCTAGATTACTGCCATCACAGAGACTTTTTCAATGCCTTTTTTTTAAGCTTTAGTCTTTTTTTTTTAATCTACTCAGGGCCTTTAACCTTTACCCCACAATTCATAACAGCTTTTCATATTAATAAAAATTTAATCTCCAAAATCTTTTCTTCAAAATTACCTTTTTGTATCAAAATGTCACTTGGAGAAATTTTTCAAATAATATTTGACAACACATTTTATTTGTGTAAATCTTCTATCTTTTATACCTCTCTCATTTGTTGGACTTATAAATGCTGTGTTGATATTGAGAAACATCTTTCAATTTCTACCCTATGTATTTCTCTAGAATTTTTTTTTTCTATTGGAGAGGGTTAAGCAAGGTACTTCACAGATGGTCCAAAGAATAGCTTCTATTGGAGTGAATATTCTCTTGCACTGGGGCTCAAAGTCAGAAGATCCTTTTTTTCCCCAAGAATTTCTCCTTTGCAATAGCCGATGTGGATTTTATGTGTTGTCTCCAAGAAATTCCCTAAATTCATTTTGTAAAAAATAGTAGGGGGATACTACACCAAGGAATGATAGAGATACCCAACCATGCTACTTTATAGAAAGCCATTACTTGATGATACTGGTTGAAAAGAAAATTACGAATAGACTCAGCAGTTAAACACTGTCAACTAGAAAGAGTAAATACCACAATAAATTACACACATAAACTTACTCACATCAAAAAGAGTGTTGATTTGAATCAGTGAGAATTTTTGCTACTCCACAGCATTGCTCTAATCCCTTTACACAAGAACAGATTAAAAATACACACATGATTGAAAGATAAGTTTTATTCAACAGAAACCAGCACAGAATCTCTACAAAAAAAAGAGTTCAAGAAAAAAAAAAGAAAAGGAAAAGAAAGGACTAGGGCAAAATGACAGATAGGAAGCCATGAACCCATATAACCATGAACTAAAAAAATAAATAAATAAAGTAAAGATAAAACCAAAGATTGCACAATAGCCTCAAAATTGCACTGGAAATTAACAACCAAATAGATGGTTAAAAATCATTTAAGGAGTAAATGAAATCGCATAGTCAAAACATCAGAGAGTTAATGACTTTATTGGAATCAGTATATATAGAAATACTATGGATAAAAAGATAGTAAAAGTAATAGGGGCCAATATTTAGAAATGTGGGCAAAATGAAGTACAATTGAAAAAAAAAAAGATTCTTTGAAAAAATTTAGGAGAAAGTGAGAGCTATACCAAAAATGACTCATCTAAACATAACTAATTTTCCAAGGAAACAACACATTTCTAAAAAAATCTAATACATGATCTGAGAAATCTTTCCAAAAATAAAAGATGTTTTGACACAACATAAGGAAACACAGCATAGTTCTTTGGAAAAATGTTCTCAACAAAGAGACCATTATTAAAAACTTAGACTTTTGTTGATATTAATTTAATGTGTTTTGTTAATCCATACATTAAATCTTCACCATAATCTTGGTTAGGTATCATTACTACAATAATTTTATAGATAACAAATCTTGGGCACAAAAATTAGATAATTCTCCCCAAATTACAGTGATAAAAAATGATAACATAGTGATTAAATTAAGACCATTCACAAATATTCCAAATATTAGCAGTAACAGAAACACAGAATTAAAATAAAAAAGAAGTAATATAACAAAACTAGTAATAGAGTATAAGACATTACAATTTTTTAGAAATAAATGTAATTGCACTAGTTCAGTTAGAAATATTTTTAAAAGCCTAAAATTAGATTATATGACATAACCAAACTGTATTCTTTATGTACATTTTACATCAAAAACAAACGATTGAAGATATTAAACTTTTTTTAATGGGTGAAAGTACACTAGGATAAGAATAACTGCAAAATCAGAGTTACAATTTATTAATATAATATGAAGATGAATTCAGGGCAAAATGCATTAAGTAACACAACAAAGTGAAGTATATATTGTAAAATGCAAAATGAAGTATAGATTGTAAAATAAAAATGTACTTATTATGAATAATATGAGTTATGCAATATATCCTCAAATTCCATAAATAAAAGATATTCTCCATCCAGAATTTTAAATCAGCTAGTTTCAGATAAATATTTCACTGAGAATAATTTAGCATTTCTAAAAAAAAAAATGTTCAAAATGGAGTTGTAGAAAATATCAGCATTGGTCATTTTCCCTCACTTTTCCCCCAAAGGTCAAAATGGAAGTGGAAAGGTTAAGGAACTAAGTAGTGATTTTGACAGACTCATGGGGCTGTGAAGCACAGCAGCAAATTCAGACTCCAACTAGAAGAAAAAACTTGGGTCACAACTCAGAATTTTGTTGGGATGCAGAGGCAAATCTAAGTGGAAAGTAGATTATCCATCAAAGGACTAAAGTTTGGTTTTGAGTTCCTTTATTCTGTTACATATTAAGTTCACTTGGTACTTCTAATGCACTTAAACTACCTACAATTTGGAAGCAAAAACATAATATCTATAAAGATTTTGCAGCATTGCACATAATGCTAAAAGCAAATATATATATATATATATATTTTAGTTAACTTCCAAAATTTAATAAGAAAAATACAAGGAAAAAGAGAGACGACTAGTATTAGAAACAACAAAATATAACTAAAATTGAAAAAAATCAGAGCTGTGTAATAGTTCCTGGCTATAAAAAATACTTCAAAATAGTTATAATTAATATTTTAAGGACTTATAGAGAACATGGAGAATTTCAGCACAATATTTTAGAACACAAATTAATACCAAGTGAAAATTCGAAATTGAAACACTAAACCTAATAATTAACTCCTGTATGGTCAGAGCTGAATAAATAATTAGTGAAAGATAAATCAGTACAAAAATATTCACACAAAGTCAAAAATTTAAAAAACAATAACAACAAAAACAAGGAACATACTGATAAGTAAAATAAAAGATAATAAAAAGACCCTACATACCTATAACTTGTGAATTTGAGATGGAGAAGAACATAGAGATGGGTCAGAAGAATAATTGAAAATAATGGAGCAGTTTTGAAAATATTTCATAACTAACTAAGAAAACTAAGGTTCAAGAGGTACGTGCTACAAACTCAATCAGTATCCTAAAAATATTTAAATATATGAATGAATAAATAAATAGATCAAATAGATCTTTAAAATGTTCAGAAGGAAAATACACATTATGTTTAAAGCAGAAAAAATAAGATAAAATTTTGACTTTCCAAAATGAAAAATACTGAAGTAGAAAAAGTAAAAAAAAAAAAAAAAAAAAAAAAAAAAATGGAGTTACACAATAAAATTGCTGAAAGAAAAAAAACAAAACAAAAACTGCCAAGTTAGAATTTTATACACAATAGAGCTAGGGGAAAATACAACAGAGTAAGAAAATTCAGAATTCAACCCTTCCATAAAACAATGAAAAATGTTGTCAAAAATACTCTGTATCTAATTTTTTTGAGCTCTGGCATCTAGCCAATATCTTGCATCAACGTGGGAAGTGTTAAATTGACAAAACAACATATTCTTGGTAAGAAGTATAATTATTGTGGTGCCTTAACTCATCCTAGTCCCTTCCTCTGCTTCCTAGCTCAGCAACAGCCTTGAAACTAACGTCCTTCATTCTAGTTGCCAGTACCTGAGTGGACAGAATGGACCTCATTCACATGGAATTCTTTGGTTACTTCCTAAAAAAAACTATTCAGAATATGTTTCTTTATCTTATCTGACTGGAAACTTGTTTATGGCAAAAGCGAAATCCCAGAAAGCGTTGTTGAAAATATTTACAGCTATATGTTCTAGTCTCTGCTTCCTGAAGCAGGGGATAACAACTGAAGCAAACAGTAGACTAACCAAAATGCTTAGGATAAAATGCTGGGGAATAAGATGCTTTAGGGAATAAGAGCTTAAAATGACCCAGTATATTCCCGAGAAAGTATAAGACCACATGCATACCCTGGGTTATGTGCATTATGAGAAAAGACATGGCAGGGCTCTAAACTCTCACCTTTGGCTAACCTTTAGATTCTCTGCAAACAGTAAGTAAAAGCTAAGATAGAGTTGAAAACTTCCTGAACAAATGTTGAGGGTATGCAACATACAGAACTCCTTTTCAAACAGTGGGAGACTATTTTTTGTTAAATAAATTGTTTTTAAAACACTGTCTAATAATTAGCTGACTAATGGACAAATGGAACAGATTTTAGCAGACCCAGGATTAAGAGTATAAACTTCATGAAGTTAGTTTGCAAATTTCACCAAAGAAACAACAAATACAACAGGGTAAAAACAGCAAACCCTGGGGAAAAGGGAGCAGTTGGTTTCCAGATTTTGCATATTATTATATTTAAAATATCAAATATTTAACAGAAACTTAAGAGGCATACAAAGAAACAAGAGTGTATACCCATTCAGTAGAAAAATTCAATTAACAATAGCTATCCCTGAGGAAGTCGCAGGTTGGACTTACTAGAAAAGAATTTAAACCAGCTATTTAAATATGTTAAAAGAGCTGAAGGAAGTCGTATCCAAAGAACTAAACAAAACCATAGTAACAGTGTCTCAACAAATAGAAAAAAAAATACACAAGATGAAGCTAAACAGAAATTTTGCACTTAATAATAAAATAACTTTAAAAAGTTTACTAGAAGGATTCAAAAGCAGATTCGAACATCAGAAGAGAGAGTAGTGAACTTAAAAATAGGTCAGTTGAGATTATTCATGTGAGGAAGCTTTGAAAACAAATCAAATGTACAAACATATGAATAATGGGAGTCCAAGAAGAATAAGAATAGCAAGTGGCAAAGGAAGATCTGACAAAATAACGACTTAAAAATTCCAAATTTGACAAAGAATATTAATCTACACATAATGAGGCTCAATATAACCCAATAGAATAAACTCAGAAATCCCTACTACGACAGAACAACTCTTGAAACTAAAGAGAAGTAATTTGTCACATACATGAGATCCTTAATTAGATTAACAGCTGAGTCTCTTCGGAAAGCCTGGAGGCCAGAAGGCAGTCAATGACATATCTAATTTGTATAATAGAAAAAAAAACTGTTAATCAATGATTCTATATCCTGAAAATCTAAATTTTTAAGGTGAAAAGAAATTAAAACATTAACAGATCAACAAAGAAAGAGTCCAGCTCTAGCAAAACTTCTCAACAGGAAATGCTAAATGTAGTCATTTGTGCTGAATGACATATATATACACACATATATATACACATATATATACATATATACACATATACATGTATATAATGTATATATAACATATATGCTAAAAGAAATGACAGAAATTAAAATTATATGCTAGAAAATGTATTTCTAACACAAAAAAGGTAATAGAGGGAAGGCTGAAGAACAAAAAACATATAAGACATTTGGAATACAAATAACAAAAAGGTACAAGTTACATATTAATACATTAAATGGAAATGGATTATAATTTTCAATTAAAAGGCAGAGTTTGGCTGAATGGATTAAATGTAAAAATATGGAGAAATACATGTTATGAAAATAGTAGTCCTAATAGTTTTTTTGTTTGTTTGTTTGTTTGTTTGTTTTTTGTCACCCAGGATAGAGAACAATGGTGTGATCTCAGCTCACTGCAACCGCCACCACCAGGATTCAAATGATTCTTGTGCCTCAGCCTCCAGAACAGATGGGATTGTAGACATGTGCCTCCACTACCAGCTAAGTTCTTTTTTTGTCTTTTTAATAGAGAGGGGGCCAGGCTGGTCTGGAACTCTTAGCCTCAAGTGATCCACCCACCTTGACCTCCCAAAGTGCTGGAATTACAGGCATGAGGCACTGTGCCCGGCCCCTAATATGTTTTTGTAGATCACTTAATATTAAACAAATTAGATGTTAAGGCAAGAAATATTACTAGAGAAAAAGAGTACTTTGTCATGATTACAAGTCAATTCCACCAGAAGGTAAAACAATCCTAAATGGGCATATACCTAGTAATATAATTTAAAAATCTATAAAGCAAAGTTTGACAAAACTAAACAATAAAATTAGACAAATCCACAATCAGTAGAGTTTAGCAAACCTCTTTCAGGTATGTTAAAAATTTTTTGGATAACCTATAGCATGTTGTGTATTATAGTTTAAGTATTAGAGTTGTTGAGAGTAGCTATACTGATTTTGAATTGCAGAGTAACTTAATGATATGAGAGTCTATTGCATATAATTTTTGAAGTATCAAATAGGTATGGTTGGAGAATTTCTCAGATAGTTTCATAATATCAGTACTCTGGTGTTGCACCCTTTATAATCCATTGTGTGTGACTGGTATCTATGACTTTCTTCTAACCAATAGCATCTGTTGACAATAATAGGATGTCACTCTTGAGACTAGGCTATTTTACAGAAGAGGTGAATGAGACATGGCTCCTTTGATTAAGCTATATTATAAGGCAGAGATGATGAACAACCAGTTGCATGTTTGTCAGATAAGATTCTGTCCTGGAAGATAGAATCAAAATATTGTTTCTGTCTCCGAAGAAGTAAGCTGGTATGTTGTGAGAAAGGCATATGGTAAAAGGCTGTGTGTGGCCAAAGGGAGCCGAAAAAGTCCCCCAGTTTAAAAGCAAGCAAGAAAACAAGGTCCTCAGTTATACAACGATAAGGAAATGAATTCTGCCAAGAACATGCGGTAGCTTGGATGGATATACTTAGCTTAAAACACAGCCCAACCAGTTCCTTCACTGCTACCTCCAAAACCCTGAGCAGCAAATGCAGTTAAGCTCAGCCCCAACTTCTCACATACAAAAACTGTAAGATAATAAATGTAAGTTCTTTTAGGCCTTAATCTACATAATGCATAGTAATTGGTTACATAATAATAGAAAATGAATATAATCTAATTACATTAGAAAATGTATTTTCTGATCCTGACTTATAGCAACTCAATGTCAATTTAATTATGTTTGTTTTCCCATTTTTTCAGTATGTGCAAATTATACGTTTGCAACTTTAAAATAAATAATACTAAGTTTTCTAATTTTAAAAGTGTATATTATAGCTCTATAGCTAGATATGCAATCATGTGTAGATACATAGAATATAAATAAATGGAAGAGAGAGGTGAAATGGAATGAATGAAAGAGGGAAAATGAAGTTATAACGTTAAAAAATTGTGTCAGTACCTCACTAAATTTTATGATCCACGCACTCAATGAATGTAGTGAAAAATTACTCACTTTCTAGCTTATAAAGACCCTGACTACTTTTCTGGGCCCATCTCCTCTCTTCTTTGGCAGCTTCTCTTGCTCTTGCCATACTAGTTTTGTTTGTTTGTTTCATACTTTGAAGACGTTCTCCCCTTAGGGCGCTTGTGTCCCCTCTGGTTGGGGTGGCTTATTTAGCCAGTTTCATGTGATTGAAATCTAAAATTGAATCACCATCTCAGAAGGGCTTTTTCTTTCACCTAAAGTAATCCTAAAATTATTGTCTATTATATCATTCTATAAAACCATGTAGCCATTTACAGTGATTTTTGAGAGTGTTTAATTTTCCATGATCTTCTTAAGGAATTTTAATTAGAAAATGTATGAACATTCTCTGTCTTATAAATTATACCCCAGTACCCAGAATACAGCCTGGTCCATAATATATGCTCAGTAAAGACTGTATATTGATGAACTTTTAAGGAAAAACCCTGATAGACTTTTATTGTGCATTTGAACTTCATTTGAACTATACTCCCTCCTTAGCCTAATTTTAAAAGACAATTTTGCACCAAGCTTTATCAATCCCTTTTATTATAACGCCTTTTGTTTTAAACCCTAAAAATTTAATGCTACTTTTGTTATGAATAATATCAAAGTACTACTCAGAATAATATTATTGTGTCATATTTAAAGTTTAGTTTTTAATGACATTTTTAAAAAATATTGCTTTTTCAATATTATGGGCACACCTTGAAAAAATGGCTTTACATTTATTAGACTAGAACCCACTTTTGACACAGTTGAAAGAGAAATTGGTGAAGTTGGTTTTACTATGGATTTAAGTAAATATTCTTTCTTGTTATTTGATTGCAATTCATAGAGTACTTTCATTTATTGTGTTCATTCCTAACATCATGTAAGCTCTGGTAATGAATTATTTGTTATTTATTCCAGTGAATTTCATGTGATTATAAAATATTCATTTGGTCTTGTTCAAGTAAATTATGATTTTCCACAGGGTTATCTTTTAAATTATGTCATGTGCATTGTTTGCATATCTTTATTAGAATTAGTTTTAGGACATGAGTTGTGAATTATTACTGTTTCATGCATCAAACAATTTTATCTGTGTCACACTGAAGATGTAAATATAAATTCCTCTCATGATGCTTATTCAAAAATGATTCTTATAAACACCTAAAGATGGAAATTGTATTTGTATTAATACAAATTCTCTTCTAACATCAAAGAACACAAGCACTCTTAGTTGACTCAGTTTTGTGGTAACAAAATAAAAGGCATAAAATTGATAGGCTTTACATTTGTGCCAATTTTGACATTTATATTAATAGACTAATAATGTTTGACATGGCTCAATGATAATGCATGCATTTATATCACTAAAGTAATAGAAGAATCATTTATTAGGTTTTAATGTTTAAAAGCATTTAAGACACTATGTTAAACCATGGTACATCATAGGGCCCATGAATACTACTTTTGTAAGCAGCTTTTACTAAAATTTCAAGAAGGAAAAAAAGAGAATTTTTCTTATTATTCTATTCCCAGGGAATAGATCTTGTTTGGATCATGTCCTCATATCCAATGGGAATGAAGAAATTAAAGCAACCAGCCTGAGATCCATTTATCTCTCAGTACTAGGGCGACAAGGGGAAGGGAAGAAGACATTTGGTCTCATTTGCTTGCAAACTTAATAACTGGACATTCTGATAAGTAGTATGATGGTATATGCAAGAAATTGTCCTTTTATATGGAATACTTTTAGTCCTGATTTAGAATTATTATAAACAAAAGTAGAATATATAGATTTATGAGATATGCATAATGTCACATAAGCTATGCTACCATTTGATGTATAAAATGGAGATGTCTTATAACTTAAATATTCCCTGTTGATGTTCTGGTCTAGAGATGTGTGCTTGATATGAAACAAGGGGCCTTGACACTGTCTTCACTGTTCTAGACATTCTTCCTGCTTTTCCTCTGCCTCTTGATTGCTTGTCTTCTTGAAATTATTAGTACACCCTGATTTTGAATAAGATCGCTAATTCATTTGAGTCTGATTTTACAATAATATTTATTATGTTAGCTCATCCAGGTTCAACCACTAGGAATTTTGGCAGGAATTTAGAGGAACCAAGTTATTGTACAGTAGCAGTCAAAGTCTCATGACAGTCTTATCTACATCTGTCTAAGGTACACATTACAACCTAGACTTGCTTGCTTGCTTTTTTCCATTTCAACATTTTCCTTCCCTTCCTCTCTCTCTCTTTCAATTTCTCAATACTCTGTTCCTTAGCTCCTCTACTCCCCTTTACTTTTTCTTATGAAAAGTTTACAAATCTAGCTGTATGTTAGAGTGTAACAAGCAAAAGCCCATATTAGAAACATTCGGGCTGGGCACGGTGGCTCATGCCAGCAATCGCAGCACATTGGGAGGCCAAGACAGGTTAATCACCTGAGGTCAGGAATTCAAGACCACCCGGGCCAACATGGTGAAAACCCATCTCTACTAAAAATAAAAAATTAGCCAGGTGTGGTGGTGCGCACCTGTAATCCCAGCTACTCAGGAGGCTGAGGCAGGAGAATCACTTGAACCCAGGAGGCAGAGGTTGCAGTGAGCCAAGATGACACCATTGCACTCCAGACTGGGTAACAGAATGAGACTTTAGCTCACACACACACACAGACACACACACACAAATTCTAATGATCGAATTCCTCCCCAGAGATAGTGCTTACCATTTATACATAACCTTTCTAAATATTTCAAACACACACATATACACACTCAAATGTGCGTTATTTATAATATTTAAATCAATCTGGAATTTATTTTTCATATGGCTTCGAGATTTCATCTAATTTTAATTTTACTACAAATAGTCAAATATTTCATCGTTATATATTGTCTCACCTCTTCATTAGCTACTCGTTAGAAATGTTGCCTATATCATACATTAAATTTCTGTATTTAATATTTGTATGTGATTATGCTCATTTATTTGTATTTTTTAATCTTGGTCTTAAACTCACACATTTCATTGATATAAATTTATAAAACGTGAAACATGCTTGAAAGCCAGTTTCATTTATTGTTCCAAAAATAGTTGAGGATATTTTGCAAGCAAAAGAGGATTTTAAAAATCCTGATTTCTTTTGTATACATATTTGTATTTTCTTTATAGAATAATAAAAAGGACATATTTGCAATATGGACACATATTTTGGAAAAAATCATATTTACAATATTACTTATTCACATTATGAACCCTTTATAATTCCAATTTGTTCCCATATATGGATGGTTCTTAATGGTTCAAGTTATGACTTTTTGACTACTATGGGCTTATCAGGGTAGTAAATTCATTTTTGACTTACATTTTCTATTTGTGATAGGCTTATTGCAGTGTAGCCCGAACGTAAGTTGAGAAGTGTGTGTTTGAGTTTTTACATTTCATTTAAATTTTGCTGTTTTGTTCTGTTAGTGTTTTAGTTAGCTCTTTTTCTTTTTAACAAATTTGGGATAAAAGGAAACTTTATTAACATGAGAAACATTATATCTGAAAACTCACTATATTTTACTGTTTCTTTAAGAATTTAAGTTATTTCTTAATAACTTAATTAAGATATAACTTAATATTAATTAATTAATATTACTTAAGAAATAACTTAATTAAGTTATTTCTTAACTTTTAGTTTGGAGCGTATGTGTGAGGGTGTTCATTTTAAGGTGTTAGAATGTTAGTTGCTTTTATGAATGTGATATTTCTTCTATTCCAATTTGTAAGTGATTAACTGGTAGTATATATTAAGCTAATTATTATTTTATTTATCTTGCGGTTAATTATTTTCCTGCTCTTTTTCTGTATATACTGCACCATAAATTACATTCATATATTAATGTATTTATGTATTACCTCCCTAAAACACAGTATGTTGTAGGAAGCATGCAGACTGTGAATATTTTAATTAAAATTTTAGACTGATAAATATCTGGAATGAAAGTATAAAGATCTAATAATAGGTGTTTATATTAATAAAGATCTATTAATATAAATAATAGTGGATCACGTAATCTGTAGCTTTAACTAAACTGGTTAGGAAGGTCTATTAATAATAACATTAGAATTTTTAACTCTGTTTTTGTTCACCTTGTTTGTACTATCTGAATACCCCTCATGCTTATTCCATACTGAAGGAAACTCATGGGCTACAAAATCTTATCTACAATTCAACCTTTCTCTGAATTTCACAAGCATTTTCTTGTTAATTTTGCTGTTACTTTCTAGCTGTTTCACATGTCCCTGGTTGAGTTTTAAACTTAGGCAGTAATTTTTACTTCTTTGAATTATCACAGACCTGTGCACTTAGGAACAGGATTCAGGAAAAGAGAAGATTCTTCTGTTCCTTTATGCAGACTTATTTGTCCAGTTTTACTAGAAGATGTATTTGAAAAGTCTGTTAATGAAATATGGTTTGACTAAAACATTTTGAAATATTTCTAGAATGCACAGTGTAGTTTTCTAACATTAGTACTTAAACTAGAAAGAAAAATGCCCAATTTTACCTATAATATTAAAATAATTTATAATTTTGCCAGGTTTTGAAAGACATTCATTCAAAATTTTTTTAATTAAAATAAGTAGTTGATATAAACATTCACCATTGCAAAAATGAGTATTAAGAGCCAAATTGGAAGATATCCATTTAATTTAACACAATTAACTCATTAACCTCAAAAATATTACCTGTATTTGTTATGTAGAATATGAAGACTCCCCATGTCCCTTTCTAGTCAATAATTCTCATGCAAAGGTAACAGTTAGTCTAATATGTATGAACATATAATAAATTTATCTAAACTTGAACTTCATATATAAATGGATACATGTATTGTAGAATATCTGTTGTTTTTTTTATCATTACACTTTTATTTGTTACAATCTGGATATTTAAGCATAGAAGTAGTTCACCATCAATTCTATTTAGCATTTCATATGAATATAACATATTTTGTTTGTTCTGATGTTGACGGATATTTGTGTCCAGTTTTGGGCAATTATGAATAACTAATAAATGAATATAGATGTAAATGTATTGAGTAGCTCATAAGATAATTTTCTTAATATTTGTCCATTTCCTATATTTATGTTTTACTTAAATATATTTTTAAAATATGATAGTCAAGTGGAATGATAAAGGTATAATAAATAAGATTTTAACTTTGTTATACTTAAAAAGAATAGTCTATACTTCTTTTAGGTCCTAAGAAGCAAAAGTAGTCAACTCACTCCCAGAGACAACATTAATTTATTTTTGACCTTAGATTCATATCACTAAAGCATTGTTTCATGTAGTTTCACTCAGCAAGGACACCATTATGACTTTCTGTAAACGTATTTAAATAAATAAATAGAGAATACAGGCATTGGAAAAAAATCAGATTGGTGTAATGTTATATTTATTTTAGATATAATAATTATTTTAAAATATTATGTTAAAATGTTTAATATCATAAACATTATGAATAATATGATAACTTGACATTTAGTGTAATGGACATTCATTATAAAATGTACCTACCAGGCTCATAATTAAACCACAAACACATAGACAAAAGGTACCCTGTAGTGTCCAAATAAAAATGAAAACGTTGAAATTTTTTTCTATTAAGAGAATATCTTCATGGTAATATAAAAGAATGGATTAGCAAACTATCATAGTAGACTCTAAACAATTTCAAGGACATAAAATAATTTCTTACTGGTTGCCAATTTTTAAATAAACATAATTACAGTTTATAGCAAAATCTTGACCTAAATTATTTCTTTCCAATATTTTCCTCAAATAATTCATTTTCTTCCTATATTAACACTACAACATAGATATTATTATTACCTTCATCAGGCAAAAAGGAAGTTGACCTTAGAAATTTGTTATGGTTTGCTCATGGTCTCTAGAAAGTGAGTGATTGGATAAGGTAATTCTACTGTAGAACTCATATTCTATTTAATACCCAGCCTCCAGATTTATATTCTAAATCTAAATCTTCCAAATATTCTCTGCACCTTAGCTGTGGTCATATTCATGGTACAACACCATGTCCCACTCCCCAGTTCCAAAACTTTGGTCAAGTCATCATCTTTTCAAATGATCTATATATTTCAACTTCCCTGCTTTTGTCCAAAGCAAGATCATTTTTCTAGGCACAAGTGATGGAAGAAGTCCTAGGTTCATTTGTAAGTGAATTCCTATTTTCTAATCTCATGTTCACAAAATTAAAAATGCCTTTTAGAAAAAAAAGTATATTAAATATATTATTAGCATTATTGGTGTACTAATGTTTATGTTAAGGTGATATATTTAAACTTAACCAATCTACAGAACTTCTACGTGTGTAAGACATTATCTTAAATATGCAGAAGTACACAGAAAATTAATTATAAATGCATGCCTGCCTTTAAGAAGTTTATTATCCTGCAGAGAATGGGTGTAAGTACAAAAGAATATATATAATAGGAGCCCTAAGAGAGATAGAATAAGGAAGAATTCAAGGAGATCTCAGTTGATTATAGCATTTTAATGGGAATGGTGTAATGATGTCAGCAAGTAATCATTAAAAATATTGGCCACATTGTCTTAAAATTTTGTTAGAGGCAAAGGCTAAAACTTTTAGACAAACTGTAGAGCTATCTCTTTTCCTAAAATCAGGTATAGAATTTTCTACTAAAGTCTGTCCAAGACATGAATCCTTAGAAGCCAGACATTGCAACAAACATTTACCTGAAAAAGTTCTTTTCTACTCAGTATTCTTTCCAGGGAGGTCTAGAATTTCTACCTTGTTTACAATAAACTTTATTTTTTAAGTTTCAAGGAACTATTCCAGAAGAATATGAAGACTCACTCTAGCCTTAAATTATAGAGTTCTCATATCAAATACTATCCACTATCCAGTTTTATAATCCCACCTCAAACACCATAAAGATTCATTCCTAGGCATTTTTGCCTATCCTCAAGATTTTTTTAGGAATGATATCTTTCTCCCTAAAGTAGAAAAGATACTACCTTTCTTGTTAGTTTAAAATAGTGTTTTCAAACTAAATCATGCATTAGAATAACCTGGAAGGCTTGATAAAATATTGATTGATTCCCTTAGAAATTTTTATCACTAAATCTGGGATAGGCCCAAAGAATTTGCATTTTCAATGTCATTTCATGTGATTTTCATGAGGCTGTGGTTTGAATGTGTGTGTCCCCCAAAATTTATGTTGAACTTAACCATGATTGTGGTAATAGTAAGTGGTGGAGCCTTTTGGGAAGTGATGAGGGCTTTGCCTTCATAAATAGATTAATGTCCTTATTAGAGTGGCTTTAGACCGAGTTCACCCTCTTTTTCCCTTTTGTCCCTTCCACTATGTGAGGACACGGCATTCCTCCCCTTCAGAGGAGGCAGCAACAAGAAGCCATCTTGCAAGCAGACCACCCCCCACAGCTGGTATCTTAATCTTAGACTTCCCAGACTCTCTAGAAGTGTAAGAAATACATTTACGCTATATACATTTACATTTCTCCAGAACTGTGAGAAACATATTTACACCCATTTTGTGGTGTATTGTTATAGAAGCATGAGCAGATGAAGACATCCAGTTTATATAATTGCCAAGTAGAAGGTATAAAAAAGAGTGGGGCAGATTTACAAGAAGGCAGCCAACCACTTTGAATGGCATCTGTCTCAGGTGTGTCCTTTTCACACTTGGCAAGAAAAGGGAGTCTGTCCAGTGGGAGGCAGATAAGTCTGTTGGCTTGGCTGGTTCAGGGGAATCTGGGTTTTCAAGGTTCTTAGACGCTTTCTCTACTTCTCTAATAAAATACTAACTTTTTTTTCCTTTCTTTTTCCTCAGACATTTTCAATGTCTATGAATTCTAGTATTCTATTTTCTTTTTCCTTTTCCTTTTTTTTTTTTTTTTTTGAGATAAAGTCTTGCTCTTGCACCCAGGCTGGAGTGCTGTGCTGTGATCATTGCTCACTGTAACCTCGAACTCCCGAGACCAAGCAATCCTCCCGCCTCAGCCTCTCAATAGCTGGGACTATAGTTGGGCACCACCACTCGTGATTATTATTTTTTTACATTTATTAGGGACTGAGCCTCCAAAATATTTTTTGAGACTGAGTCTCAAACAATCCTCCCACTTCAGCCTCCCAAAGTGCTGGGATTACAGGCACGAGCCACCATGTTCAAACCTAAGTTTTACTATTCTTATAATCAGATCTTGTGCTAAATTTTGAGGACATTCTAACTTTCAGAAAATAAAGGCATCTTTAAGTGCTGCTATGGAGGTGGCTATAATTTGGATATAGTTTGTATATACGAGTATCGTGTTGAAATCTGATCCTCAATGTCAGAAGTGGGACCTGGTGGAAGGTGATTGGATTGTTAGGGCAGATACCTCACAAATGGCTTGGTGCCATTCTCACAGGAATGTAAGAAATTCCCCTGGGAACTAAGAAAAGAGCCTGGAACCTCCTCCTCTTTCTTTCTTTCTTTCTTTCTTTCTTTCTTTCTTTCTTTCTTTCTTTCTTTCTTTCTTTCTTTCTTTCTTTCTTTCTCTCTCTCTCTCTCTCTCTCTCTCTCTCTCTCTCTCTCTCTCTTTCTTTCTTTCTTTCTTTCTTTCTTTCTTTCTTTCTTTCTTTCTTTCTTTCTTTCTTTCTTTCTTCCTGTCTCACTATATGATCTGCATATACCAGCTTCCCTTCACCGTCTATCATGAGTAGAAGCTTCCTGAGGCTCTCACCAGAGGCAGATGCTGGTGCCATGCTTCTTGTATAACCTGCAGAACCATAAGCCAAGTAAATCACTCTTTTTTAATGAATTATCCAGCCTCAGGTATTCCTTTATAGCAACTCAAATGAACTAAGACCGAGGTTTTCTGTATTTCACACTGTGCTTCTATCATTTGCTATTAAGTTGGTCGGTAACAGGTTGATCTGCTACATTTTCTTCTCTCAATGTTTTAATGGGAAGCAAAAGTAATCTACAAACTCCATTCTGAATGTGGCAAGGCATACACTGCCTGTTTTAACTTCTGCCTGGAAATAACATGTATCATTTATTATCATGTTTTATTGCACAAAGAAAGTCACATGCCCCATGTAATCTTAAAGGTCAGAGAGGTTTAATCCTACAAGTGCCTCGGGGAAGATCTGGAAAAAATTATAGAAAGCACTTAAAGGCTACGTTTCATGATTCTCACCATTAAATATTTGGTTCACTTGTAATTTCAGAAACACTCACACCTGCGTGCACACACACACACTCACACACACTCACCCTCTCCCCATGAAAGACTATCCAATGCCTCATTCATTCACCTCATGAAAATCAACATACTGGGTTTCTTAGTGATTCAATTTCTTCATTAGAAGATCAAGGCTCAAAACAGAAAAGCAAGGAGTTTCAATTACTGATATATTTGATTTTATTTATATAGTAATCCTGCCTTAATATCTCACAGTAACTAATTAATTCAGAATAGTTAGGTTTATTAGTAAAATGGTAGGCCACTACAGTTTACTAAAGGCTTGGATTGAGTGCTCCCAGGAAATTCTATTCTCAGAATCCTTCATACAAAATCCAACAAGCATGCTCAGTCCTCTCTGGTGACCTCATTATCTTCCCAAAGTGTGTCTGAATTTTGTCAATCACTGTCCTGAAGGACCAGTTTAGGCTCAGTGAGAGGATCCGTTTTTATCTTTCAGGTCTTTGATCTTCATGGGGTGCAATTATCAGGTCACTGACTCTTCTGTCATTTTTGTCTTTAGGGAAACACCTGCAAGCTTCAATGTTCAGATATTGTACTTTAGGCTTTCTTTTATTTTGCATCATGACTAATGTTTAAATTTAGATATATCACTATTTAATAACTATTTTATCCAATCATATTTTTTGTTATGCTTCATTTATGTAACACAGAAATCACTTAGTTAATGTTTTACTCCCGTAGGTACAGAAAAATATAGGAATAAAGTAAAATGGTTCCTCCCAAACAGCTACATTTTATAAGAAGCCTTATTAAAGATATTTATATTTTAAAACATTACACAGCTAGAAAATGTCATTTTTGTGGCAACACCCGTTTAAATGGCTACATATATTTAACCACAATGATAGCAGATGTTGGTCTGCTCATCTAAACAGCTAAATTATTACCACAACATACAAGTTGTTATCACTTAGTTGTAATGTAAAAGAGATCTTTACTATACGGAAAAATAATACCTACTATGTAACTCAACAGGGGATGAGTGTTTATCACAACTTTACTTATAGTGCCTGAAATTGTAAGTAATTGAAATGCCCAACAACAGTTTAGTAGATAATCACAGTGTATTGTGCATCTGATGGAATGCTACAGAGTGATCAAGAAGAATGGATTAATGGTACTTGCCACTACACAGATAGCTCTCAAAAACTTTATGCTGAGTGAAAAGAGCAGACACAAATGAGCGCATACTGTATAATACTATTTGCATTTAAAAATAGAAAATTCAAATATGTGCAATGACAGAAACCAGATCAGTTGTTGTCTGGTTCTGGCCCAGAGGAGGAGATGGACTGCAAGTGCCATGGAGAAATATTTGTGCATGCAGAAAATATTCTACATTTTGATGATTGTTGCGACTCTACAAATATACATATTTGTCAAAACTTATCAAATTATACATTTTAAATTAGACAATTTGAATCTTTCAAATTATATAAAACAAATTGAGAAAGAAAAAGAATGAGAAAATTTTAAAGATTTCAAGATGATTAAAAATATACAGATTATAATAAAATAATAAATAAATAGACATAGTTCGTTGCAACCTAGAGAGATAGTTTCTATTTTGAATTCAGAGGAAAAAATAGTGTAAAGCTATAACCAGAATTCTGAAGAACCCAAGTTGTGAAACTAACTTCTTGTAAAGTCTATGAAGTGACAGCACTTTTTATGGCAACGAATATAAAAATTACTCAGTATTTTCAATCAGAATATGTGATGCTGGTTGTATATTAGCAGAAGATCTGATAACCTAATCTAATATTCCTATCAGTTCACATCCTTACCGTATTTGAGATTTGAGATCATAAATTACAGATTCAATAATCAGACTTTTTTTGCAAAACCAAAATTCTCTTAATAAATACCTAACTTTTCATTTCTATAATAATTTATGATTAAAATGTATGTAATAAAGCTAATAAAACCCATTCATTAATAATTTTATTTTAGAATTAATAATAATATGCTTGGTATTAAAGTGTTTGTAATTTTAAATGGAAGTTGATATATTAGACATACGGAAAACAAATAGTGTGAATCTAGTTGAAAAAGTAAATTTACTGTAAACTTTTTTAAGTACAAATATATCAAAAAATAAATTTAAAGAATGTCTAAAAATTGTAGTAAATTTTCTGTACTGTATGTAAGTTAATTAACTGTATTCGATTCATAATAATATTCTCATCATATTCAGAAAAGTTGTTAAGTACTTGTGTATGGAGGTTGTCTTATTTGCCTATAAGATTGCTCAGTTGAATATTTATATCACTAACCAATAATGTGTATAAAAATTTTGTGTACATTTAACCTGTTTAAAGGAATTTTATTGACTGAGATTGTGATTAGAGTTAAGAATTATTTAGTCTTCATGATTTACCTTGCAGAAGTGTTAATAAAATTCCCTGAGAATATATTTATATTTTATCTAAAATTATCAGGTTACTAATTAAAATGTCACGGCTTTTGAGATAATTTTAAATGCTTTGAGTGAAAACTAGATTTTAAATGTGCTACTTTACAAAATTAATAGGGATTGAAAACCTGTTATTTCAGATACTCCTTTGGGTGACCGCTTCCAAAGATGACATCAATACTGTATAGTGGAGGGTCAGAGTCAAATGTGATTCTGTTGGAGAGCATTAGGGTGAGATAATGGTTATGTTAATGTACTTTTTTACTGACAGCAACTAGATAGCAAAATCAGAAATCTGTGAACAATATGTCAAACAAAACTAAGTGGCAAAATATACATACTAACTCCAAAATTCCAGCAGATTAGAAAGAAGACCAGTTCCATAAAATCTGTATTGTGCCAACATTTTTGTGGAAAAAAAAAGTAAGCAAGCAAAAAGGCAAATTCTCATGAACTTAAGAACAGAGAAACACTAACATAAACAATAGATATTCATAGGAAAGAATATAGCAAGAATATTTTTAAACAGCAGCTGAAACAATGTTGGGAAAGGGCCCACACCGGCGTGTTTCATAGGCCTGCAATAAGCAGGATTGAGGGATGAACACTTTATCCTTTATGACCTTTGAAAACTTGTGTTCCAGGGCTCCCTTCTATCTAGGTCAGGGTTCCCTGGGGACAAGAATTTGAAATCAATAGGTTCAAAATTAAGCAGAGAAGAAACAAAATAGATGAAATATATATGTAATCAGTCTTTTTATGGCATGGGTTTTATGACAAGAGGTAATGAAGTAAAATATTTAAGATATGAGGAAGGAAATTATGCAGTAAGGATTTTGTATCCAGAAAAAACATGTACAAACTAACCAGCATACAAGGTCACAGGGTACACTGTTCCAATAACTACTTTCAGAGTGACCTTCAGACAACCCAAATGACTAGAGAGACATGGACATCAAGTATTGATGGAGAGCACTAAATGTAATGTTACCTGTATAATTAAGAGAAAATGTGGAGTAAGAGGGACAGAGGCAGAAAGTAAAGGTTGTAGTAGTTTTATACTTTGATAATAAGAAGTCCAACTATCAAAATAACAGGAAGGGAATGGTTAGTTAATATGCACAATTTTTTCAATGTTTAAATAAATAACAGTGGTAGCATTGCTATTCTGAGACTTTTAAGTGGGTAAAATAGGACAGAACAAACAAAGAATTTGAAATAAGTAAATTCTATAATGTCTTACATCCTTAAACAGCAGAATCTTCAGTGTGGAAGAAGTTACAGATATAGTATGGAAATTTAAATAAGCTTGTATTCTTGAATTTGATTGAAATCATTAATGTAAAATATTATGATATGATATATACATACAGATATATGATGATTCTAATTTCGACACACGCACACATACTCACACACACACACACACACTTTTAACCTTCTAACAGTATCCACTGAAAATACCCTGAGCAATGAGCAACTCAGTAGAGATTGTGTCCTGATATTAATAATTAATAATAAGGCCTCCAAAAGCCTCACAAAGGGATTTTGGAGAAATGGCCGATTCCAGAATTAGAGGAGGAGATGTTAAAGATGAGCCTAAACAAGATACTTCTTTTTTATGCAAGATGTTCTTAAAGATTATAAAATTTGTCACAAGATCTTTGAAGCCAACTTAAATATACTACCAGTAGCCAATATGAGAAAAAATTGTTCTAAAATGATGATAATAATTACAGTGTACAGAAACCCATCAATTATTTTTAAATCAGTGAGTTTTTTATAAAAACAAATATAAAAAAGGAATTATCATTATTGAAGGCAGATAGGAAACCAAATCATTGTCTTGAAAACTGGTAAATAAAAGGAAAGTAGCGAGCACTTATGCTAATTTTCTTATATGACCTCTATTACTGGGTAACCATATGGCAGATGAGGGAAAATATATCCCTCTAATGTTATTTGTATCCATACAAGACTAATTCATAGAATTATAATATAACTGTTTTGCAACATCCAATGACGTAAACGATATGGACATTATTTGTTAGTGGCTACTAACCAAAACATAGTCAACCACATGTGTTTATCATAATCTTGTAAAAGACCATCTAAAACCCTGCCAAAATGTAGGCAATCATAGCAGTATGAAATCATTGCTCAGTCTTCAAATGATTTGGCCAAACTGTAGCAATTGTCTCAGACAATTATCTGTCTTCCTTGAAATACTTTATCTCTTGACTTCTAAGACACCACACCTGCCTAGTTTTTATCTTACGTTTTTTGCTACCCTGTCTCACTGTCTTGTACCACTTTCTCCTAGTTTTTGTGACTTCTTAATTTAGAAGGAATCTAGGGCTCAAAATTCAGACAACATTTATTTTATCCATTCACCCATTCCATTTGGAGTATCATCCATTTTAATGTTTTAAAATGCCATATATTTACTAAAAATGTACAAAACTATACTTAGTGCAGCTCTCCACAGGTATTTCAGATTAGTATGTTATAACTAAACTATTGCATCACATGTAATATTCCTGAAACTGAGCATATGAAAATCACTGCTAAGATTGCTTTTTCTGCAATCTTCTCAGTATTAGTTAAGTTGAGTTGAATTCTACTTAATTTTTCAGGTGCCAAGACCAAAAATCTCAATGTCATGCTCAGTTACTTACTCTGTGATTTATAAGCACTATATGAATCATTCTTCCTATTACCTCTCTGACCTCAACTTCTATTACTTTCCCTTGTGGACTCTGTTTTACTGATTCCTTTGATTTTCTCCAAATACAGACAGGGAAACTCCCACCTCAGATCTTTTGCACTTGCTTGCAAATCCCACAGTTACGTTTGGGAGTTAAAACAAGCTCCCTTACTTCCTTTAGGTCTTTACTTAAGAGTTTTATATAATCAAAATTATCTTGCACACATGGTATCTACTTCTGTGCTTTATATTTTCCTTCTTAACATTCATGAATACGAACCCTAGACATTTACTTATCTTCTATTTTTCCACCGCAATGTAAACTCCATTAGAGTAGAAATGTTGGCCTGCTGTAACTTGTGCCTGATGCAGAGTAGAAGTTAATATTTTTAATGTATATATAAGTGAAGGAGTGAAATGACATATAATATGCATTATAAGGAGAGATTTGCAGAAAACAATAATTGTATTATTAACTTTCAGCTACTTTTGGAACATAAAAATGGAGATATGTAGTACATACCTAGAAATACAATATGGAGTTCATACATATTTTAAATTTAAGTATCATATTATTGATTAAATAAAACATTCTATTTCATAGGCTCAAATATAAATACTAGTAGAATAAAAATGAATAAATGTAGCTAGACCATGACATTACACTTGATTGAGACTTTTCTCATAGCAATTTACATACTTGTAATAAATGGGATTAACTGGGAGAATAAGATGTATAGTGTAGTAATAGCCAAATATCAAAATATGTCCATGGAAAAAATTTAGGTGAGGTAGAAAAACATAAGCCATAATAAAAGTCCAAAAAACTGAAGTCCAGGGGGAAAAAAAAGCACACAGATTAAATTATCTGAAGTGAAAGGGATCTAAAGAAGAGTGTATTCAACAGTGCCAAATACTGCAGCAGGATTAAGTAGGATGAAAACAAAACCCAGGGATTGGATTTATTGACGAGGAATTCATTAGTAATTGTAGCAAAAGCTCTTTCTATGTAGTCATAGAGATAGGGACCAGATTTAAGGCATTAGGGAATCAAGTGGAAATAGAGACATTGACATTAACTGTTTCAGTTGATGAATGCTATTATGGAAAGAAATAAATAGGACATGAAATTGTGAGTAGAGTAGTTTCAATTTTTTTTAAGCATAAGAAAGACTAATATATGGGTTAATGGAGGGAAGAAAGAACACTGGGGAATGAGAAATGGAAAAGACATGACGAAGAGAACAGAAGACCAAATGAGGTCAAGAACTATGTGATAAAGCCTTAGAAAGGTCAATCTTTCCTTCGAATAGGGATCTATATCAGGTCAAGTCATCTTAAAGGAGAGGAAAATCTGGAGGTCGGGAACATGTGAATATCTAACAGATTGCTTCCAATCTTATCAAGAAAGTTCTGAAAAAGTATATTTGTGATATGTCAGGTCATTTATTTTCTGTTGTGTTTGGGAGGCCTGTCTCCTTTGAATACTTTCTCAGCTCCAAAATGTGGCTCCCATAATTTTAATGAAAATTATTTTTGCTTTTCTGGGGAATAAAGATTACTATTCTTCAATTTTATATATTATTCCAAGGAGATTCAACAGGAGAATACCTCCTTCAATTGGTAATGTTACTGCAGAGCAGGAAATAATGAGAATTATCACTCTACTGGGACATTTTGGATAAATGTGTAAACAGGATGTGGTGATAATTAGAGAAGGGTGTTGTGTGGGCATAATTATCCTAAGGGTTGAAGAAGTGATACATGGAAACCTTTAAAATCAGGCCCAGTGCCAAGGAATTTCTGATCCAGAGACTGAAGAAAGGGAATGTTTTTAAAAGCATAAAGGAAAAATGGTGGTATTTCCAGGATGCATACAGGTATAGTGGTCAAAGAAGTTTGCAGTATTTACTTGGGCAGAGGGCAGGGGTCCCTCTCAGGGATCCCTGGATGTGAGTCCCTTTTAGGACAAACACAACATAATATTTGGAATTATGAATAGGCACAAGATAATATTAATAAGTGTGTACTTGTGTTAGGGTTCCATGAAAAAGACAGTGCTTTGTGGAGATGCATGATACAAACTGATATAGGCAAAACTGTGTCTCTCCATAAAATTCCTGTTTGAATCCCTAACCTCCAGAGCCTCAGAATGTCACTGTATTTGTAGATATGGCTTTTAAACAGGTGACCAAGTTTCAATGAGACCATCAGGATGTGCTCTAATCCAATAAAATAGTGCCTTTATAACAAAAGGAAATTTGGATGCACAAAAAAGACACCAGGATGTGCATGTGCAGAGGAAAGACCATGTGAAGACAGATATGACCATCCACAACCAAGGAAAGAGGTCTCAGAAGAATCCAAACTGCTGAGAACTTGATCTCTGACTTTTAGCCTCCAGAATGGTTAAAAATTTAATGTATGTTTTTTAAGGTGCCTGAGCTGTGACATTTTGTTATGTCGATCACAGCAAACTAAAACAAAAACCATCTCCTTACGTTTTTTGATGAATGTTCCAAATCCTTCTGTTAAATAATGATGGTGATGACAAAACAATAATTGGAAAAGTGGTAGTAGCTATAGAATTAGTAGTAAAATCTTAGAATTTGGTAAAGTATTCTTGTTTAGATAAGAAACATATAACCCTTACATCGACTACTATTATACTCATTTCATCGACAAAGTTTAAATAACATCCCCAAAGTCACAACGAGTGGCAGAATCAGGAACTATCACTGTTAAATTGATTTCCTGGAATTTCATTTTTTTCAAGAGATAGGTTGAACAGCATACAGATAACTAATTAATAGTAGGTAGATTGGAGAAAAAAGAAATGGAAATAAAATGCATATGTTTGGAGAATGAAATCTAAATGAAATGAACAGCTATTTAACATCTATTACACAACATGTATATTATAATTGGAAAAGAAAATCATCTGACAGCTTTTCTGTCCATAGTCACTGAAATCAACAGAGTTGCAGAAAGTTAGATTCAGCCAGAGTTCTATTATCAACTCAGCACAATGACATGAGAGAAGGGGAAGGGAATCAAAAACATAAGCAAGTAATGTTTGTCCATAAAATTTAAACTGGGTGATTGCAGATGTATAGGCAATAAAAGGCATTGCAATAGTTGGGAAGGCAATGGATTGATAATTACAATGATGTCTACAGATTTTCAGAGCTAGTAATAAGGAGTAAGCTGAAATGATAGGAGTTGGTGATCAATGAGTTGGATGTATAAGGTTGTTATTCTAGAAGTTATGCTATGCTTAGTACTGACAGTTTCTGGTTATGTACCTGCAAGTAAGGGACTGAGAAAGGCTGGAGTACAGACATTTGGGAGGAAGAAATTCAAGACACTAAGAGGCTGGGAGTTGGCAGGATTATGCACATGTATATTTTACTACCAAGATACCAAGAGGTAAAACAATAGTAATATTAAAGAGAGTACATTGACCCAGGAGCTAACATCATGGAAAACTGAAGGGAAATACACAAAGGTGAATTGGATGAAGGACTGCAACAACAGGAGTTATTGGGTAATATGATCTTATTAAATGAGACTTCAAAACTAATTTTGTATGGGTGTTTTCCCAAGAGTGAGAGAGAGAAAAAAATTGTCTGAAAGTGGCTATTTGAAGCCACTATATGAAAGGGCTTGAGGGAAATTTGTGTCCTCAAAAGAGAGTCAGGTTTTCATTAAAGCATGAAGGTGAAGACAAATGGAACGTGGAAAAAAAAATAAGTAAATAGAAATTTGCTCCTAATGGATCATAAATTTCAGAGAATATGGTGGAGCTGGAGAGAAGTGAGAAAAATAGAAAGAATGGGGAAAGTACCAGGCCTTCTATTCTAAGAGATAAGGGTTGACTTGGGCCTTGGGTATTCTTAGTGTGGCTACCATAATAACGAATAAAAGGCATAATGATATTGGTTCCAGAGGATTTAAGGCACTTAGTTTGACAAAGATCTAAATGTGAGGGTTTGGAAGGCATAGATTTTAGTTCATACTGAGAAACTGAAAAATACAACCAGGCAATGGCTAGGTCATACGTAAAAATCATACTCTAACCTACATTCTGCAACACCTGTTCAGGAAATGAACCCCTTTATCTACACAGTAAATGGCCCAGGAAGCCAGCCTGCTATAAGTTAGGTTTCTAGGAAGTCAGACTGCTACCTCTAGTAAATAATACACGAGGAAAAATGACAAGAATTTGGTTAATAATTGTCAGTTTTCCTAATTTTTATCTCAGCTTCCATCTTAAGACCAGCCAGAGAAAGCCAAATAAACACTACTCGCCAATCAGATAGAATGTTCTTCATCCCATAAGCCTACCTACAGCTTCCCCAAGCCAACACCCTCCAAGGAAGGCACATCTGAAGCCTTCTCTTTATTCCTCTCTGAGGCTTTCCCTCATCCTTTGTGTCTTTGTCAAAGCACAGAGATGATGGCTGACTCACTTGCTGTAGACTTTGCGTGTTCTCAATCATTAGTTTTTTACTTTGACAATTCATTTCCACACTAATGATGAGTGTAGAAGGCTAAGGAGAGTCACTGTCTTAATTTCAGTAGTCCAGCATTATGCTGATATATTTTGTAATCAATATCTTACACCATATGTATGTGTAACATTTCATTCCTGCTTGATGGGCTTGAAGATTTGGGGGGATGCTGGATAAACTCCAGTTTACATTCTTTTTTTTTTTTTTCCAGAATGATCTCTAAACCTGTTTTTTAACTACTCAGACATCCTCTTCACAGGGTGGTCTCTCCTGACTAAAAAATTTCATGCTTGTCCTTCATCCCTTTACCTTTGATCATCTCTTATATCCGTTATTCTACACTTCTCATCTTTTAACATATTTTATGTTATGTAATTTTATGTTAATTTGTTTTATTGTATTCCCAAACTAGAAGATGACATAGTTAAGGATAGAAGGTAAATAATTTTAACTAATTTTTTAAAAATCATGAGTAGATTCCAAGAGCCCAGAGCAATTCCTAACAAAAAGGGAATTGATAAATATGTTTTTATGAATGAAGCAATGACAATATGTATGCAGAGAAATATTATGGCTCAAAACATTTTTGTGAAAATGTCACATAAAAGTAAGTTTTTAAAATTAAGTTGCTTTGTTTAATATTTCATAATTAAACAAGAATCAATAGGAGTAACAATAGGTTGAAAAAATACAAACAGAAAATTATATTTGATTTGATGCCTTGGTCACTGTTTAAAATTATAAATCATTATTTTTTAATTACAGATCAAATGGCTTAGTCACTGAAGGATAAATAGTATGCTAAGAAAGATAGAACGAACCTTAATTGGAAATTAATAATATGCTAGGAGCAGGTTTTGACATAGAAATGTTGAGCAGGTTTTGACATAGAAATGTTGAGCAGATTTTGAATTTCATCTCAATACTATATATATTATCGTCACTTGTTTACGAGTACCTACTGGTTCTTTTTAGATCTGTTCCATTTCTTCCCCAAATGGGGGTATTGCAATTCAGTTTTGACTCTAATTGTATGAGTTTGCTAGGATTGTCATAGCAAAAGAGACTAGGTGGCTTAAACAAGAAAAGTGTATTTGCTTACACTTCTGGAGGCTGGAAGATCAAAAGCAAGGTGGTGGCACAGTTGACTTCCCCTTAGCCCTTGCTCTTCAGGGTTATTTGTGAACATGGAGTCTTTATCCACTAATTTCTAACTGGCTGATGAATATCAAGCTTTCATTTACCTGGGAATTTGCTTCTGTGAATGTATTATACCTGAGGAAAATTTGAATGTCAGTAAAATTGACTTTCCCTTTCAGGTGTTCTTCCACAAAACCTTATCCATTCAATTCTCTTGTGGTCTCAAGTGTTTCAAAATGCAGAATTTTATAGAATTTAGTGAGTCAATACTGCAGTTATACTACTACACTAAATCCTTGGGCAACATTATGTAATAAAACTAATTAAAATGTCTGTAGCAAAAATTATGAATATTCACATTACATGGGCTAAATGATAACCCTAAGTGTTCTAACACCATTTATTGTGAGATTTTTTTTCCACTTAATAAATTGAGGTCAGATCAGATTTCGCAATGAAATTCGTTATTAAAACATTATATTTTCAATGAGATTTTAAAATAAAAATATGCAAAAACTTTTGAATTTTTGCATCTTAGTCATTGGCATTTGGAAGTTGTTATTTTAAACACCACATTACTACAGCATAAAAGTTCATACTTAGAAATAAATTTTAGAGAAGATGTGTAAGACCTCAACACTGTAAGTTATAAAACATTGTCGATGAAAATTAAGAAATATCTAAATTAATGGATATATATATAACATGTGTGTATACTGGAAAACTCAATATTAAGATTTCATTGCTTCCCAAATTTATTTCTAAATTCAAAGTAATTGCAAATAAATATTATAGTGAGACTTTTGCAAAAATATACAAGTTACTCTTTGTTTATTTGGAAAATAAATGTATTCTAAATAAATTTACTGGAAAAAAATGATTTAGAATATGAAAACATAAATATCAAGGCTAGAAAGACTATTTTTTACAAACTATAAAATTATGATAGTCAAAACACTATTTTGTTGATGGTAGAATAGCCATATAGGTCAATTAAACCAAAAAGGATTTCGAACACATGTTTGAGCAGTTAATGTTTGAATGTATGTTGCTAATGGGAGTGAAAAAGTGCTAAAGCCATTTAGAATACAGGACAAAAGTTTCTTATAAATTCAAACGTACTAGCCATATGACTCAGAAATCTCCAAGTATTTAATGAATAAAAATCCCTAAATATTTGACCAAAAGAAATAAATTACCTTCTTTTGTTTTGCACAGAAAGTACAAAACTGTCCACAGAATCTCTGTTTATAAAAAGCAAAAAACTGGAACAATGTTAATGCCCATTATCTGGTCAACAGATAAAACAAATAGTGATATGTCTTTACTGTGGAATACTACTCAGTAATAATAAATAAATGATTGATAGATGCAAAATTTGGACAAACTATAAGCATTATGCTTCATTAAAGGAGTCAAATTCAGAAGAATGTATCTTGTTTTCTTCTGTTTATTTGAAATTTAAGTACACACAAATTTATAGTTGTCAAAACAGACCAGTGCTTTTCAGGGGTTCAGAATTGGAGGTAGAGATTGTCTGCAAAAGAGCATAAGGGAGATTTTCAGGATGAGGGAAATGTTTATATCTAGATGGTTACAAATCTATATCTGAATGTCAGACTTCTAAAGGAGGCATTTAAATTGATTGAATTATATTTTCCCACAATTAGACTTATGATAAGATTTAAAAATACAATTGAAATATTAAAAATATAAAATAAATGCCCCTCTTAGGTGCATAAACAATTTCTAAATCAATGTCTCATAATTTTTTTCAGCTACCTTAATATCTAAAAGAGATTATCCTATTAAATGATATTTAATTGCTCAAATCTGATAGTGAATTCATTCCTTCTAAAACGTAAGAAGTAAAATTCTCATATTGTCACCTTACAAACCTAAAAGACTTCTTTCCTAGGATCTATGCACAGTGTCAGTAGAGTAACTAGTTTGCTAAATTTGGTAAAGATTTAATTTGGCTATTAGAGTGCCTAATCTAGATCTCAAATTATTTCTTTTCCCTTGTGCATTGATTCCTATGGCAATAAATGAATAAAAGTTATTTCACTCCCTGAACACTTCTAATTTAAAGCACATTAATCAACCCTCTTCATTGAAAGATTCTGGACTACAATCACAGCACTAATGTCTAGCTGCTTGTTCTTTTGAGGCCTAGTAACAGAGAGTAATTGCATCTCGTGTATTTGCTTGTGGGAATTGTTTCATGCTTAGAGGTGATTTTTTTTTTTTTTTTGTAAATCATTTCTTCTGTATGATGTAATTGCTGGTCATACACATAGAGGACTTTTTAGCTATAATATTCAAATAGGATTCTCCTCTATCTGGATAATATTCGGGTTTAAAAGATAATAATTTGAAAAGATTTAGCAATACTGAAAGTATATTCAATAGCAGGAAGGTCACTGAGTCATTGAATGTGAAAATTTTATTTCTAAAATTTTAACATATAGTACTTTAATGATTATTTTTGTCACTTTAAGCTTTAAAGATTTTTTCTTACAATCCTCACAAGAGGTTCTTAATGGTTGACTAAAGCATTTTCATACTACTTTCATAACATTGCCATTAGAAGATTTTAGTAGCTCTGTCAAAAAGATCCATGGGTCTTTTGTAGAAAATTCGAAATAATAACAAAAATTATAAACATCATGAAGCTTAATTGTCTATTCGTATATTCAAAGTTATATTTCAACATAAGTTAGTGATCTAAAATACAGGACAATTTATCTAATATTTTGAGCTTAAATATTTAAAGCTGATTCTTCTTCAACATAAAGGTCATTAGCATAGTTGTTTTACATATAATCTTATTTTATCCCAATTATACCATACTGCAAAGTTGCATACTTCCAGCTTTTCTAAAGTGTTATTTGTAATCCCTTTATCTTCCATTAACACAGTAAGACTCTCCAGCTCATCTTATTTATTCCATAAATTTCAAGTAAAATGAATTTGCAAGGGCCATAGTCTTTTTTTTCCTGACAAACAGCAATCTGTAAGTAGTGTGAAGATGTTACCAAAATTTGGAATGAAAAGTTGAATAATTTGTGACTTCAGGTCTAATGTCATGACACAAAAAGTCACCTCATCTAGTTCTTTCTCGCCTGAAGAGACTTTGAGTTTCCCATTTTAGTCAGATACTACAGTCTTGAGCAATTCTTAGCCATAGGCCTTTTCTAATAAGAATAACAGTGAATACTCTAGGATTTATGTTATATTTTATACTTATCCAAAAAAAACAAAAAAAAAGTAAGCAGAAAAACAGATAATCAGCACCTGTGTTTTACCTTTTGTGGCTTGACTTACTCAGACTGCTGTGATATTTTTGTATTTCAGATTATTGTGGGCTCTTGTCAAACACCAAAAGTGCTAACATTTGTCTGTTTCATTGTTCCCTTAAGTGGATAAAGCATCTTCATGTATTTGCAGGGTCTTTTTTCCCTGCCTCTGGCACAGTTGTCCCAGTGATTCTTTTTGTGCTTGTCTCTTAAATGGCGGGTTGTTGGAGTTCTGTCCCTATTTTCCCAGGTCCCTCAAGCCATTGTCAACATGAATCTATATTATTGAATTCCCATGGCATTACATGTAACTGCTACTGAGCATTGAGTCATAAGCATGAAATCATTTATTGCACTGTTTTAAACTGCACTCTATAAAATATTCTTTTTAATCTTTGATGACAAATGTAAAATATTCTATACATTTTTATTTACTTGGAATTATTAAAATGTCCACTCCAGTTTAAAATTGCAGTCTTATATTAAATTTTAAAGATCCCTTTCTCTATGTCATAGAGTCAGGCAAGTCACAGAGATATCTCCTCTTTATCTCTTGTAGATCTGGGTCTTTTAGCGTGATAGGGTTAGTAGGAAAAAAAAAATAAAAAGGACACATATCCCCTTGCTTAAGTGTTTGTTGTGGTATTATAGTTCATAGCCAGCTATGAATGCGTCTGTGATAGTGGTCAGTCCAGAGAGACTAAATTCTCTTGGAAGTTTTACTATCTTTACCACTCTAGATGTTACATTCGTAGTGTGTTCCACTACCATCTTCTCATTCTCCATACTGCCATCTCCCTCCCTTTGCTTTTCATCTACTCAGTAGGCACAGGAAGAAGTCAGTGAGTTTACTGACAATGTAAACAGCCAGCTGCAGCTTATGGCTACTTTCTGTCCAGGGAAGCACTCCACGTATTTTATAGTGATTTTCTTGGGACCTTCTCTAATTGGACTTCGGGTGGTAAAATCATGTAACATTTTTCTTTCCTCCTATATTCTTTACAATTACTCAAATATATTCCAGATATGGATATATAGTAGCATATAGCAGTATAATAGACATTTAGTCCTTTTTATACACCCGGCAGAATTTGACAATAATGGAGACCCCTATGGGTGTATGTGTGAATATGTGTATGTTTTCTCTTGACTCCTGAGATGCCACACTTTCTTGGTTCTTTTCTTAAATCTCAGACCACTTACTCGGTTGCTTCCAAGTCTCGCTCTCCCTCTTCCCATTCTCTTATTTCTTTTTAAGTTTCCATTTTTTTTATTATACTTTAAGTTTTAGGGTGCACGTGCACAATGTGCAGGTTTGTTACATATGTATACATGTGCGTTGGTGTGCTGCACCCATTAACTCGTCATTTAACATTAGGTATATCTCCTAATGCTATCCCTCCCCCCTCCTCCCACACCACAACAGGCCCCGCTGTGTGATATTCCCCTTCAAAGACCAAAGGTAGATAAAACCACAAAGATGGGGAAAAAACAGAGCAGAAAAACTGAAAATCCATTCTCTTATTTCTTAGTGTCATGTAGGGATCTCTTCTAGGTCGTCTTCCCCTCTTACCTACTTACTCTACTGATTCCTTATCCTTGGACATTCTCATCCGCAGCCATATTTTCTATTTCCATGTCTAGCAAATAATATTTTTTGCTCAATTAATTTTTTACTCTTACTCTGTAAAAGGATCATGCATCCTTGTTCACCATCATATAATTTCAAGGGCTTTTCTGAGGAAGGATAGTAATTTCCTCTCTATTTAATTTATGGTTGGCTATCTGATTGCTCTGGACAATGAAATGTGAGTGGAAGTGACTGATAGATAGATTTAAGAATATAGCACCACACCATTCCAGAAGCTTTTTCACACTTTTCCTTCTGCAAATTAGTTATCCAATGGGTAGACTGCAACTTCAGCTTAGATCTCATATTGAGCAAAACATCTGAACAGATGTGCAGTTTATCTACTAAGTCACAATTTAGAGTAGATTTGCTACCAGCCCACAGTTGAAATGTAAACATCAAGGTTAGTTGTTATAGGACTTTGTTATTGTATGCCATAAAGTTATTGTGGCATGTTACCACAGAAAAAATTGACTGTCAGTCATTTTTACATTGCAAACACCCAAATTTATAATCTGTGCTAAGGTATCTTACCTGTATACCAAACTTTAATCTTCAATTGTCTGCTGAAGTACACTTGTATGTACAATAGACACTTCAACTTCAACGTGTCCCCAACTTAATCTATCATGTGCCCAAACAATTTAATCATTTTATTCTATATTTCTTGATTTAGAGAATGATACTACCACATACTCAGCATCCAATACCAGAAACTTAAATGTTGTTCTTGATTCATATTAATATTACTGGCAGTCTTCAATCATGGCCTGAATTCTTTCTCACTTCCAGAGTTTGATCCTTAAGTTTCATTGAGTCTATACAATAAATGTCTCCCAAATAAGCAATTTTCCTATCACTATTATTGTATTCAAGTCACCCTTATTTCTCCTTTTCATTGCAATGACATTTTCCTGATGTCACTGACCTAAATTCCTCTGATCCATTCATCACATTATCACACATGATTGATATAAAAACATGGCTTCAAAGATTGAAATAAGCAAGCAAAGCATATCTAATGCCTTCCTGTGAACCTAAAACTAAAGGGCAAATTTATTTACATGTGGTAAAAACATGATCTAATTACTACTTACTTCTGCAATCTTATCTTTTATTGTCTCTTTTCTGAAACTTTATAACATATCATGAACTTATTCCAATGCTTCTAATGCTTTCTCTTTACTCTAAGAGCTTTGCATAAATTGTTTCTTTTAGGCCATTACTTTTTAATCCCTACTCTTTTGCTAATAAATTCATGTTCATTTTTCAAGTTTCTGTTTTTCTTGTATTTTATCTTCTGTGCTTTTTATACCTCTCTTCATTTCTTCTGAACTCCATGGGAAGTTCTTCTTCAATCCAAACCCCTATCATAACACTTTAAAATTTTACTTACTTAATTTTTACTTACATACTTTCTTAGATTATAAACTTTCTGGATATAGGTAAGAAAAAAATTCTTTATCCCATTTTATAGTTTAGCCCTTTGTCTTACACAGTGTCTCCCACCTCTAGAATTTCAATTGTTTTTGAAGAATGAATATATGAATAATTACCATCTTCCCATAGTTTCTAATTTAATTATATCTTCAAAAATCAAATAATTTATTTAATCTGTAATTATATCTTCAAAAATCAAATGATTTAATCTGTCTATTTAATTTATGGGTGGCTATGGGATTTCTCTGGACAGTATTTTCTTCAGTTTTGCTTTATTTTTCCTACATCATATATACAGTCAAGAGTTCACATGCACCTGAATTTAGACTAAAATTTCAACAATATACAACGGTTAAATAAAATAATGGAAGTAGAAATATCTGATAAATTTAAAATGACTATTTTTAGAACAGTAAAATCATGTCTCTGTTATGTGCTTGATATAGTTTTGCAAATTTTTGGTGGTTGTTTCAACTACAATTCACCTTGATCAAATAAGATTGGGAAATACTAGGATAAGTAAAGTAATGAGTATGTATAGTATGTATGCGTGTGTGTTTATATAAATA
Organism: Homo sapiens; assembly: GCF_000001405.40. Taxonomy (NCBI): domain Eukaryota; kingdom Metazoa; phylum Chordata; class Mammalia; order Primates; family Hominidae; genus Homo; species Homo sapiens. Next base: position 83,136,413 of record NC_000003.12, on the reverse strand, counting down.
CTTATATATTGATATAGACTATATATGTGTTTATTACACCCTTTGGTATGAAATATTTTCCTAATTTTAATCAAAAAATTGCTGTATGTATGTGGCTTGTTTTGTAGGATTACATTTTTACATAATCTTCAAATATGACCAATAGCAATTCCTCCTATTCTTGTTCCTGCATGTTGCTTCTCACAACAAAAATTGCTGAAAGCTCTTTGTTTTCCTCTTGTATCTGGGCCCACCATGCCTTGCCTTGGCCAATAGATTATAGCAATATTGACCTTCTTGGATTTTTATTAGTAGGCCTTGTGAGAACTGCCAGCTTCTGCTTCTTTTCTTTAGGGCCTGGCTGCCATTCTGTAAAATGTTCATACCACCAAATATTTAGAGACTACCTGAATGGAATCCCTGAAGGATCACAGACCATCTTGATTTTTTCCACTCCTAGATAATCTCCCAGTTGAATGTAGCCATTTAAGTGGCTCTGATCATCGTTATGGGAACAGAAGAACCATCTAGGTGAGCTTTTACCACATGGTTATAAACACTTCCACTCCAACTGAACAATATGTAATAACAAATCACTGTTGTTTTAAATCACCATGCTTTGAGATACTGTTATACAACAAATATAGTTGACACATATTTTAGGAAATGCTTTATAAAATGAGTTACAGTGGATAAACATCCAAGAAACAAAGAAGAAACCCAGCCCCACTGGTTCCAAGATATTCAATAAGTCTTAAATATAACCTTTCTGATCTTTTGTGATTCTACAACAACAATGAAATTACTCTGTGTTCCTCAAAAGGATGTGGGCAGAGTCATTTTATGAGCTTTAAAAGGCTTGTATAAAAATGTGCACTATTCATACAGGCTTTAGAAACAAAGAAATTTTTCCACATTTTGTCATACCCCTTACTACTTGTTATTTTGTAGTATTTAGGGGGAAAAAGTAACATAACATATGGCATTAAATAATGACTCCATGAAGCTTCTTGTCTTGTATTATTTGAATTACTATTTCTACTTTTTTTCTTTCATTGTCTAACTTCACTGACCCACATTTGATATTAAATCAGCCTATTGAAATAGGCTGTCATTAAAATTACTCAGATCAATAGGCAGTAGGCTATTTATCTGAGTAATTTTAATAACAGCTGAAATGGCTCAGAAGTCAGTAAAATATCAACCATATTTGAAATATCTCAACTATGTTTTGTTCTAAGTATCAGATAAATATATTAAATTTATAATATAGTCTAATTGTAGCAATCATTTAAAAATTATATCGCCACATATATTAAAAGGTCATTAGAATTCTCAATTCCCAAGTTATCCAATAACAAAGTAAGTCTTTATAAAACAGATAAGTTGATCACAATTTTCATATATTTCGTCACTTTAGAAAATGCCAATGATTGTATTGAAATGCTTGTTCATTTCAGCATGGTTGTATTTTAATGCAAAAATAAATACTTTGTGAGATTCAGTACAAAACAAAATTCATTTTCATTCAAAGTATTATCATCATATACTGGCAGTTAAAACCAAATTGATAGTACTTCATCTAAGTCTCTGAGTACCTGACAGTAAAACCTGGATTAAATTTCATCAGACACATTATCTCTTGCTTTAATAAAGTCCAGATGTGCTGTATTACACCCACTGCTTAGCTTATGCTCAATTTCTTAAGCATGCTGCTTCTCCTTCTGCTTCTGCTTCTCCAAGGTTTGCCTCTAATATAAAACATGTCTTGAAGGTAGATATCAAGCACACATTGTTAATGAAATTCTTCAATTTTAAGAAAAGGTGGTCAACCACATATTATCCTGACTCAAGATGAAAATGGCTTTAATTGGAAATAGAGCAAATGACAATAACATACAACATGTGCCATTGCAAATTGAGTAGAAAGTGTTATGAACCCTAGAATTCTACTCATTATTTATTTTTATTCCTTTGGGCTATGAATCACAATTAAATTAAATATTTATATTTGTATTATAAAAATAAACAATATTATAAATATATAATATTATAAACAATATTATAAATATAAACAATATCCACAATATCTGTTTTTATTTTAATGAAAACACAAACTCCAGGCTTAAGAAGAGTTTTATCATATTGACTTAAAAGCTATCAAATAGCTATTCTGAGGTAACAGGGTTAATAAACTAAAAAGTGAATACTCCGTTGTTACTTAGTGAGAGCTCTGTCTGCTGAATCCAAGATAGAAATTCTGTTGTTTCTTACAAATAAAGTAAGGGAAAACCTGCAGAAACTATTTAATCATGTTTAATTGTTGTTTTATTCCAAAATATATTTTTCTGTTCAGGTTATGGCATTTATATTACTGAGTGTAAGAAATGGATACCATGCAATATTTTTAGGGAGCCCCCATTAATGTTTATTAGCTGTTGTATCTCTGAGTTATTTAAATATTGGTGGCAAAATATTGCCAAGTCGTTACTACTCAGGCAATTGGGAAACAGATTACAGAAACTTCTATTGCAGAATAGAAGTGACAGAACCATATAAACTCTTTGGAGAACCAAGCTCAAGACTCAGTGAATCAGGTCCTGAAGAATTGTATAAAGAATATAAAGCAGAGGCAAGTTGAAGGAAAAACATAAGAAAACATGTATTTATGTGGAATTAATGATATTTAAGTCATCATATTTGTATTTGGCTTACACACACACACGCACACACACATATACTGCATAACACTATGTTGGTGGAGTACAGAGAATAGAATTTGCAGATTCTATACCCTTTCAATTCAGTTTCAGGCTCTTAATAAGACACACATACACCACTCACATATAATATTTTGAATATGTATTCCCAAAGCCTCTTTAATTCATGCAATTGTCATATCAACATTAAATTTATTAAGCATGTTATATCAACATTATATCTGTCATGATGAATTGGGGCCATTTATATTTCAGGACTGGCCAGTGATTCTGCTAAGGCTTAAAATACAAGAAAACATCTGAAGAAAACTCATTTCCTCCAACTATATTTCCAAAAGAATCTCTAACTTCTAAAATCAACAAAGCAAGGAAGAATTAATTACATTGATCTGTTATTAATATTATAAAATTGTAAACATTAAGGATAACATTTCTAAACATTTGAAATGTAAACAACTTCATCAGAAACACATAGATATTTAGTGAAAGTGAAAATACTTGAGTCATGACTAGCGATCTTTGTTAAAAACAAACTCAATAATTCATATGCATTATGATATTTTAACCATATGGAATTACAATGACTTCCTTACAAAGTGGTTGTGAAGGGGAATTATTATAGTGTGATCAGTTTCTCTGTAAAGCTTGTTAAAATTACTTCTAAAAAAATTTTCAGAATTGCTATATTTTAAGGCAATAGTTTCTATTTAATGAAATCTGTATTTTTTAACTAAGCTTTGAGAAAATGAATCAAATTTAATTTTCTAAAGTTTATTGGCATGAATATCATTATTCTGTTTTTGAAGAAAAATGTTCTAAATTGCTAATTTTCAATGTTGCTTTATACCCTTCTGTGAGTAAGTGGTCTATTCTATCTGAATAATATTATATTGTGAGTACTGGGTAGGTTAAAAACTTTTCATAAGAAATTACTGGCAGCAAGAAGACATTACATGTTCCTGAGCAGAAGAATAACATAAATGGCTATTTAGTATTTTCATATAATGGTTTTTGTATCTAGGTGAAGAAATTATTTCAGTAGGAGCTTATGCAAGGACTACAACCACAGAAAATATTCTAATAATTTAATTAGGTATAAGGATACTCATTTAATGGCCCCCAAAAGAAAACTTGGTAAGAAATGAATAAAGAACAAAAATCAGTAGATATTACTTAATGAGCAAAGAGATCAAGAAATTAGTGATAATTGTAAAAAGGGGAAATGCTCAAATATCCTGAAGATGGTAGACCTATGGGGCTGGAGAAGAACTAAAAAAAAATCTCTGTAAATAGAAGGAAGACCTATTTTTCAAAATTGTTCTCTAGTTCTTTAACCCAGTCTTATATAAAAATAAGAGAGTAGCTCTCAGCTATTGCTTTGTTTGAATAAAAGAAACTGTCATTAACCCAAGCAAGAATTTTCACTGTTTTAGAGTGTATTATTAAGAAATGGGCTTACAAATTACAAGGCAAAAATATAACACAATTCATAATATTAAAAGTTCAAACCTTAATAAGATTATATTAAGGTTTGAAAATATAAAAATGCTTAAATTACCTTGAAAGATTATATAAACTGTACATTTACAATTGGGTAAACCATCTCATCTATATATGTATTTGTTTTGGAAGTTTGGTGTCCATTTTGTTATAGTTTATGATTTTAAGCTATACACAACAATACTATAAATATAATAATCTTGTAGATCCCAGTAAGTATATATTCACATTATTTAGTCTCCTTATGGTTAAGCACTTAAAATTAAGTAATTGATAGGCCATAATTATGGTAGAACACTATATTTCATCTTCAGGAAAGATGAAAATAATGCTAAATTGTGGATCTTATGTCTTTTGCAATGTACAAATGTGGTCTTGTACTAAATCTTTATAGAAATAATAAGGCAATTTCTTTATTGAACACCACCAAAATAAATTTGCATGTTAGGGATGATCTTTTGTTTACTGGAGAAATTTCACGGCCTATAGATTTGCAATATTAAGCTATTTCCATATTCTTTAAATGGTTTCTCAGATAAGACTTTGTACAGTAAATGTACTTCTCACATTTTTATGTTCTAGATTAAAAAAGCATGAAAATTGTCTTATATACGTTCTCTTCAACGGTTTAAAAGATGTCTTTATTTTTTCACAAGTCTTCTGGGAGGTACAAGCAGCTCATTCAAGGCTTTGAAATTATTCACGCAAGTCGTTTATTGCTTTCTTTCCTAACGGATGCTAAAATTCTTCCCCTTTCTCCTTTGATTGCTTTTCCTTATTTTTTGATTATTCCCTTGTTGGACAATTTTTCATGCTGCTAAGAAATATAAGACTATTTTTATCACAGAATAATATGCACAATGATATAAAACATATTTCAATTTTTTAGCCTTTTCTGGGATAAAGTCCAATTACAGCTTTTAAAGTATACCCTAGTTGATATTATGCCTGCATTGAACTTTCAGGATATGTTTTATGATAAAGAGCCATTTAAGGAATGTATCTTGTTATGTGCTGATTCTAAAGTACTGTTTTATTACTATTTTCTTTTGTCAATTAGTCTTCACTGTATAATATGTTTATACATATAAATGACATACATTTAAAAATTATTTTAAGTAAATGAACATTTAGAAATTACATTAGGTAAATGAACACTTTGCAAATACATTTTTTTCATTAGTGCTTGTATTTTTTGTAATTGCTCACTATATCCAAAATAATAATAAAATAATTTTAATTGACATTTAAGGTGAAATTTATTATTTTTCTAATTTGCCTATACAGACTGTCCCAGACGTATGATAGTTCAACCGAAGGTTTTTTGACTTTAAGATAATATGAAAGCAAGACACATCCAGTAGCTCCTCAACTTATGATAAGGTTATATGCAGATAAATTCATCCCTAAAGTGAAAATATTATAAGTTGAAAAGGTACTTTCCACTTACAATGTTTCTAATTTATGGATGGGTTTATAGGGATTTAGCCCCATCGTAAGTCAGGGAATATCTGTACTATACAATTAATAATTATTTTACTTTATGAAAAAATGTATTTTCCTATTGGTTTTATGGATGCCTAGGTTCAATAAAAGGTATTTTATGCAAATCACATATGTACTATTTCAGTATGCACAGAGCAGATTTTCAGGTTAATTAAAAAGTAGTTTAGGAACTTACATGTCTTCTCTTTTGGTTCTAAATGTTTCTTTTCTAGACTGAGTTGAGTAAAATATGGGTCTTGCTCTAATGCTAATGCAACCACTTTCTGCCATTTGTTTTCCTTGAATCACATTTTTTTTTGTATCATCAAAGAAGTCCCCTTCTTTTTGTTTAGTTATTTGCACATCTGTTTTTAGAGGAAAATTCTTGGTAATACATGATTGCTCTTATATTCATACCACCTTAGAAATGGGATGCAGAGTAAAGAGAAGATCACCTTGATTAAGATAAGAAAATGACAAAAATTTAGTTCACTGTTTCTAGATTGGGAAAGTAAAATGAGCTTTCACCTGAAACTAAGAAATTCCAAGCCCCTTCAGTTACTTTTGGAATTTGGAATTAACAAAATGAATGAATCTATGTATATTTATGTGTTCTTCATTTGGTTAGAATAATAGATTTTTGTGACTATTGACTATGGGCCTTGAAAAAACTAATTGATTATTTTGAAAGCAAAGACACAATCATTTAACAGCCTTGGAGTCATTAGGGAAGGGAGAGATTGGGGAAAGGATGTACTCCTTGGTGACAACTTATTTCATTTTTAAGTTTAGGAAACTACAGCCCTTCCTTTAAGGTTAAATAAATAAATAAATAAATACTGTTATTACAGCCTTATCAGTTTTACAAAACATATATTGCCTTCACACAAAATTAAATAAATGTCTTTCAACAGGAGAGCACATTTACTAATGCACAGATCCATGGAAAAAGCATGGTTTCCCAGGCTGGGTAGCACAATCACTCATTGCCTCCCTTTGACTGGAGGTGGGGGCTCTCTTTGCCCAGTGTGGCTTTCAGATGGGCCAACATACCACCATGCTTTTCCTTGCTCTCCGTGGGCTACAACAGCTGCCTAGTCAATCCTAATGATAGAACCTGGATACCCCGGTTGTTGGTGCAGGATTCACATGCTGTTTTGTTTCTTTTCTGTAGGAGACTCCCACTGCGGCTGTTTCTATCAGCTATCTTGGCCCCACCCCACTTACCTATGAGCAATGGTGGGGAGGTGGAAAGAGGTTTGGAAGAAAAGTGTATTGATAAATTTCAGAAATTATAGTAGTAGTGATCCATTTGGCTGCAAATCTAAACTATGTTTTCTACGATAATCATCAACTGAAAAAAACAGATGTTTATCATATCCACCCTTTTGCCTTTTGAAAAATCAATTGTTGCTGAACTTAGGTTTATGGGTCTCATAAACCTTAGCCAAAGCATGTCATATTATGAACATCAAAGTAATTAAACCATTGAGGTTTATTTGTATGGAGTAAATTATGTTGTTATTCTATAAACTGTTCAGTTTTATTTCAGAGTTCTGTTTTGTACTATTAGGACAGGAGTAGGGCCAACTAAGGCTAAAAAATACTTAATTTGAGAAGAGTTATTGAAATCGTAATTAAAACTCTTATTCTGGCAGAACACACTTGTCAATCCGCACGCTTCATTAAAATATTGAAAAATCTTTGTGTTTAATGAAAAAAGTTTTGCTATCCTACACTTTCTTTACCCAGGTAATATTGCCACTCTCCCAACTTTAACTTCTTCCTATAATTTGCAAATTCAAGAGTTAATTCTTACCACAACATGATACTTCCCAGATAGTCTCCTGTCTCTCCTGCCTCTGAGTGGGTGGTACTCGTGATTTAGTGACTATTATATTACCTGTCCCGAGCCCCATGATATGTCTCTGTGTATGTGGAGAATCCCTGCTTTGATTCATATGAAGTAATCAACTGAAGGAATCAAGCTGCTCTGTGTTTTCACCCCCAAGGAAACCCAAATTACTCAATGTCCCCAGAGCTGTGTCCATACTTTGTTGAGGATCAAACACTTTATTTTAAAAATATATTTTATGGAAATGGTGTAGCTGTATTTTTTCTTTTTATTCAAATGTAACATAGTGATCCAAAGAGAAAAATATGGCTCTCAACCTAGAAGTAACTTTTAGAAAGAAAAATTGGGTGAAGAATGATGTAATAAATAGTTTTCTTTCTGAAACAATCTATTTACCTATCCTATAACACATTATTATAGTAACATAAATATAGTCTTATCACAATACTCTGGTATTGCATGCTACCATAAAATTATGTCAACCAGATATCATCACATAACTCTTTCAGTTAGGATTGAAATGAGAAAAGCTCAAAAGTTTCTACATATCATCGTCATTGTGGTTCTATTACTAATTTGTTGCTAATGCCAAAAATGCAAACCCTGTGACTATCTAGAGATAGATCCAACATGGTTTAGAAGCAGTGGAAGAAAAATCAATAGATGGAGAACCAGAAAGAAGACTGAGCTAGGAGGATCATTTGGGCCAAGAGGTCGAGACTACAGTAAGCCATGATTGCACAATTGCACTCCATCCTGGGCAACATAGCAAGACCTTTTCTCAAAACAAAACGTGACAATACAAAAATACATTCATGAAATAATTTTTAAAATTTTTTCTTATAAAAACTGTCCAAAATTTTATTTAGAAAATATACTCACCAACAGCCAAAGACAATATAAGAACAAGAAAGATTGAAGAATGTCAATATCAGAGTACATAATAAAGTCACCATGATGAAATAAATAAGACATTGATTTGAAATGGACACGAATACCAATAGAACAGAATGGATGATTCTGAAAGTGTCATCAATATATAATCGAAATGTTATTTTATCTTATTAGACATCATGAGGAAAAAAGTAATTGATGAATGAAATACGGTAATGGGAAGTTACATTAGAAGAAAATTAAACTACATGTAAAATAACTGGGAGTAAGGCAAACACAGGGAAACAAGAGCAATGCATTTTATAAATTACCTATTTATATACATTTAAAAATATGAGCCTGACAAATATTATGTCAAAAATAAATTTCAAAAATAGAATTACAATTCAGATGACCATTTAGAAGTTTTCCTGTTTAAAACAGTGGTTCCAAAAGTGCCATCCACACACCAGAAACATCAGCATCATAGGAACTTGTCAGAAATGTCGGAGTTCAGGAGGTTCCCAAGACCTACGAATCAACAACTCTAGAGGTCATGTCCTGAAATCTTAGTTTAAATATCTCTAGGTTACTTCAAAGAATGCTAGAATGTCCACTAATTAGTAATATTCGAAGTGCTCTTACAAATTGACAACAAATGAATAAATACTTGTATTAGGCAGGGTTTAACCATAGATGCAGAGCTACTAAGATATATATATATATAGTCTTATTATATCTTATTGTATATATATCTTATGTATCTCTTTATATATGTATATAAAGAGATAATACTTTATATCTATATATAATTGTATGTGGATTTGATATTTTTCTATGCTGGACTGTGTCAGATTGTTGTCTTTATGTATGAGGCTGAACCTTGATGTCTACAGTGCAGGGAGTTTGGAAAGGAAGAAGAATATAAAGTAGAGAAGCTCAAGAGAAGAATTGAATATACAGGATGGAATCCTTCCAGGAGCAACTGAAACTTGTGTCCATTCTTGTTGCCTCTGACATTGGTGGTATGGGTATCCTGTAGTAGCGAGCACCCATTTTCACGGAGCCAAACATACCCAGCCCATCAGTTTAAGAAGCTGATATTAATCCAAAGGATAGTAGAACAGTTGCAAGTCCGGCGGCTCCTTTATGGAAAGAACGTGTATCAGCAAGTCAGCACTGTATTCATTTGTTTTTACACTGCTACAAAGAACTACCTGAGACTGGGTAATTTATGAAGAAAGGAGGTTTAATTGACTCACAGTTTCCCAGGCTTAAAAGGAAGCCTGACTGCTTACAAACATACAATCATGGAAACTTACAATCATGGTAGAAGGTAAAGGGGAAGCAAGAACTTTCTTCACATGGTGGCAGGAGAGAGATAGAGAAAAGGGGGAAGTGCACACACTTTTCAACTATTAGATCTCATGAGAACTCACTCACTATCAGGAAAACAGCAAGCAGGAAATCCACCCTCATGATCCAATCACCTCCCACCAGGCCACTCCAATTCAACATGAGATATGTGGGGGGACACATATCCAAACCATATCTATCACCAGTGGGTGTGGGCTACAAAGTGGTTGTTGCTTTCTTTCAATCAGCCCAATCTTCAAGAATCTCATTTGTGGCATAAAATAACCAGACACATAGAAGAAAGAAAATTTCTGAAAATATAGGTAAACCAAGCCAAACCAGTGGCTTTAAAGCCACAGCACAACCAAGTAGAAAAGTTGGCAAATGATAAGAATTGATAATTTATAAAAAAGCTAATCCAAATGGACAATAAAAGCACACAATGATGCTTAAAATTTATTTTATTAGATATTTTGCAAAATGGATAAATAAAAATTGAGACAAAATTGCTAGAATACTTTATCAGAATCCGACTTTCAAAGGCAAATACACAGTTGCCATTATTCAATGTCGGGAAAAATTGTGCCAAATTGTACCAAAACATCAGACTTTAGAGATTATTATGAACTTTTATTCATCAATCCTCTTCTTTATTATTTAAAAAGAAACTAAAGCATTAATGGATGCACATGTGTATTTAAACACTGCAATGGTAAAAGAAGAAAGCAATCTGAATTCAGGGCAATTAGGGCATAATTGATTAATTTTGCACAACTAAAACTATATCAAATGACTTAATTATATTACCATAATAATTGTGAGAAAAAGCAGAAATTTGATGATATAAACAATTTTAAAAGTATGTAATAATAGATATATGTTATAATCATCTATAGATATAAAATATATTAGCTTTATGCCTTTTACTAAGTGTGTGTGGGGTGTAGGATGATATTACCAGCCAACAGGAAAAAGAAAGGCAAAAATAAAGAGATAAGGAAAATTCTCAGAAACTCCCAACATATATGATATGGTGTTATTTATGTGAAATTGTGCCCACATACGGGTGTGGGTAAAATAAGGAGATAGTATTAGATCTCTAAAGTTCCAGAATGGTATATCCATAATTTATCAAAAGAAAAAGTAAAAGCAAAGAAAGGGAAGGGGAGTGGAGGGGATGGGAGGGGACCATAATAGATTATGATTATAGCATTTTCTTCTTTAGAAAAATCTATCAAAGAAAACTTTATCAGGCTATATTTATGTATATAAGTATATGAACAAAGAAAATGAAATACAACAATATATTTAAACTGGTTACTCTCAAGAGGGTGAATGGTATGAGAATATGAGGGAAATTATTAGAAAAATATAAAAAATTAATATTTTCACTCATTTTGGAGGAGTCATTTATTTCTACTTTTCATCAAGTGTCTTAGTGGAAATTTTAATCTCATATATCTTATTGAGTGATATTTTATTACCAAGGTTCCCATAAATCAGTTAGATACTTAAGTACTGAAAATGTACAATAGCATAGATAGCAGATCTTTAGAAACATCATTTAGTAAAAAAAAAACAGTAAAATAGATAAATAAAATATATCGCAGTTTTATATAAACTATATTGTGTATTACTTCAAAAAAGAAATAGGAAATTCCTAATTATCCAGGGAGAATAGGCAACAATTTATCAAGTGAGTGGGAGTTCAGTTGTCATAGAGCAGCTGAGGTACCATAATACATTAGGGCCCAAGTTTAACCTAATTAGGGAAGTTTGAGGAAGATTAGTTTGAAAATGTACACAAGTTCTCACACAAGGGTTTTATCTAACTTACTAATGATGTTCAACGTAATTACATTTATTAAGCAGTTATATGCTACTGAACTAAGAGGCTTTCTTCTATGACTATTTAATTTTATACTTTGAATGTAAATATTGGTGAATCAACCTTCACTTTTACAGATGGTGATCTGGCCTCTTAGTTATGAATTTTAGTTTTAGGCCAAGTGAACAAAAACACTGAGTAAGTCAGTACTAAGCAAATAGGCACCTGGCCATGGTTTGAATGCCAAGGTGATACTATAAAAATAGTCCAAGGAAAAAATATTAAAAATCTAAATTAAAGCAGAAGCACTGGAAAATGAAGATAATGGACATGATTTCAGTAATACTGGAGATACTTTGACTGGCAGGAGTTGGTAATGTGCTAGGTATTTGAAATCAGAAGGCAGTCACATTTGAACTTGCGTTTAGATGCCTGAGAGAATAAAACTACAAGTAACTAAAATCATGAAGGTGGGAGAAATAATATATGTTGCCCTTACCCTGGGGAGATCATAAATTCAGATTTAAATGTAATGAAATTGAGTTGCCTATGGAATATTCAGTTGAAAAATATTTAGGAAACATTAGAACTATATTTCTGGCTCAGAACAGATAAGTGACACCAGTTGAAAACCATTAGCTTCCAAATAGAAATTAAAATTATGCATTTGAAATTAAAATCATGCATTTATATTATTTCCTTGATTGACAATAAACACTGAGTCAGTTATACGGCACATATGTGATAATCTTCTATAATACATCATTCCCAAACACTAAAATTGGACAAGAAGCATAGATTTGAGAGGCCCATTTTTCCATCTTTCACTGCTTAAATGCAAATTGATGGTCTGCATTTATTTCTTATTTTCTGAATAATACCATGCCTTAAAGTTATCTTCAAAAAATATTAAGAACCCAGAAATAGATCCACATAAATACATCCAATTAATTTTTGACATAGAAGTAAAAGCAATTCAATGGAGGAGGATCAGCTTTTGCAGCAAATGATGATGGATCAGTTGGGCATTCATAGGCAAATAAATGAATCTTAAACTAAACCTCACACCTTATGCAAAGTTTAACTCAAAATGGATCCTAGCCTTAAATGGAAAACACAAAACTATAAAATTTCTGGCAGAAAAGTAAGGTTGGAAAGATCATTACTTGAAATGACACCAGAAGCACAATATGTGAAAGGGAAATTGGATAAAAAATTGGATAAATTTGACATGATCAAAATTTAAAACATTTACTCTGTGAAACATCATGGTAAGAGGATAAAAAGACAAGTTATACACTGGCAGAAATAATTTGCAAATCATATTTCCAACACAGTACCCATATCATAAATATATATGTAGATATATATGGTTTTCAAAATACAACAATAAACAACAACAATTCAATTAGAAAATGATTGAGGAATGTGAACAGATATTTCAATAGAGCATATCCAAGTGACAAATAAGCATATAAAAATAGCAACATCATTAGCCTTTAGATAAATGGAAATTAGACCTTCCCTAAGATATCACTGTGTACCTGTAAAAATGGCTAAAGTATTAAATAGTTATACTGTTAAATGCTGACAAAGATACAGAGAAATTGGATTACTCATACTTCATTGGTTGGAGTGCAAGTATAGAGCCACTCTGAAAAATAGTTTGGTGGTGTCTTTTAAAACTAAAAGTGGATTTACCATATGACCCAACATTTTCACTTTTGGGCAAATATACTACAGAAATGAAAATGTAGTTTCATGCTAAAATTTGTAAATGAATGCCCATAGTGGTTTTATTGGTAATAGCCAGAAACTGGAAACTACCCAAATGGCTTTCAATGGTGAATGGGTAAGCAAACTGTGGTACATCCATACCACGGGATACTGCTCAGTTTTACACAGGAGCAAACTATTGATACACACGATTTGTATGGACCTCAAGGAAATCATGCTGAGCTCAAAAAGAGCTAATCTAAAGAATACATCTGAATTATTATATATACACTTATGTAATAACATTATATAATATATAATATATGTATATGTGTGTATATATCTATATCTGTATAGTTATATAATATTTGTGAGGAAAAACATCATTATTAAGGCAAAAACCAAATTGTTGATTGCTAGGGGTTTGAGATGAGTGGGAGAATGAGGCTGTAAAGAGGTATCATGAGGGAATCTTGAAATGAGTCTGCAGTTTAGGAACTTAATTTTTGTGGTGGTTATATGAAGTCTCACTTGGATTAAAATTGCATAGCACCACACACACTTACGCAAACACACAAAAATGAGTCCATGTGTAACTGAAAAAACCTGAAGAATACTCTCTGTGGTTTGCATGAATGGTAATTTCCTGGTTTTAACATTGCACAGGCCTTGTCAAGGTGTTAACATTGGGCAAAGCTGAAGGAAGGGTATATAAGACACAACTTTCTGTGGAATCTCTAATTATTACTAATAAAATGTTAAAAAATTCTTCTGAGTGTTTGAATTATTATTGAATCATTTAAATTTCTATGTAGCACGGGATGCCTCTATTTAAGGACTGTATTTATTTTGTCAGCATCTTGTAAATTTCCCCAATATGAATATTCAGTTTTTAATATTTGTATGTATTAACATTATCTTGGATGCCAATACAAGGTTGCTATAGAGGGGAAAATTAATTATTTACTAATAGCAAATAATAAATGTGCCTATTCTACTTTCCTCCAATTTTTTCCTGAGGTGAAACAAGAAGAAGTCAGTCTACATATAATAGAGTGTACAGTACATAGGGAATCCAGAAAAAGTGAATATGGATATTTATATAGGAGAGAGAGTAGCTGTGTCCACTCCCCTTCTGAAAGAGTCTTCTCAGAAACATTGGGAAGGATTCTAGGTTCTTATTTTTTACTTCTTTGGAATGCAAATACGTTTTCCCAGAAGACGAGACTGCTTAGCTGTCTGAAACTTTACAACCCAGGGATTCTTATCTGACTAAACAATTAATCGTAATATAACTATTAGCCTTTTTATTTAACACAGGTGCCAAGCTTTAGTAAAATTTACTCAGAAAGTTCTAACTGTAGAGAAAAATAAAATATGTATATTTCACACATATTTTAATGTTTCTTATTAAGCCATGCCTTTATTTCTAATTAGTTTCGAGAGAAAATATGTCCCTATACGTATTTAAACTTCATAAATTTGTATTTGGAACATTAGAAATATCTATAATAATAGCCGTAATTTTTATCCTTAAATTTCAGAAACTCTTAAGAAATCTGAGTCCGGGCACGGTGGCTCACGCCTGTAATCCCAGCACTTTGAGAGGCAGAGGTGGGCCAATCACATGAGGTTGGGAGCTCAAGACCAGCCTCACCAACATTGAGAAACCCCATCTCTACTAAAAAATACAAAATTAACTGGATGTGGTGGCACATGCCTGTAATCTCAGCTACTCGGGAGGCTGAGGTAGGAGAATCACTTGTACCCAGGAGGCGGAGGTTGCAGGGAGCCGAGATCGTGCCATTGCCCTCCAGCCTGGGCAACAAGAGTGAAACTCCATCTAAAAAAAATAAAAATAAAAAAAAGAAATCTGAGTCTCATAGTAGAACCAGGTAAATGTTAGATAAGTCTTATTGAGTGTGTCACTTGGCTTACCAAAGTTCACTGAAGCATTTATTCTTGCAATAGGTGCTGAATTAAAGTATGATAAATGGTAGCTCTATGATGTGCTGTTTAGAAAAGCTTTCTATTGACTTTAATAAACTGAACATATAGAATGCTTATTTTATAATATCTACTTTAACTTCGAAAGGAAAGAAATTCATAGATGCCCCTTGCTTTGATTTTGAGGTGTTCTTCTTGCTAGAAATGTTTGTTAAGATGGGGGAGGTAGATGTATAAACAAAAAATGCTATTCAGAGCCCCTTAGAGAGTGACTAAAATAAACAAACTTAATATTTCAGGATAGTGTTTTGTTTATTACATTTCACAAATCATCCACAAATTCAAGGACTAAAATTTTTGAAGATGTGCACAAGATTGTAAGCTATCTTTCTCTGAGCTCTTACCAAATCAGCCCAATTTCATTCACTATACATCCGGGTCCCAAGATTTGTTTGTGTGAAGTGATTTTAGGAGCAATCATGGAAAGTTTGGTAAAAGATTAAACCAGCCTGAAATTTATATATAGTTTATTGGATATGCAAATATATGTACTTTTGCAAATGATATTCACAATTGTTGATGATGAAAAAACCCAAGGAAGGCAACATAAATACAGAAGTATCTGTCTAAAATGCCTCTTAGACAGAAGCACCAGAAAAAAAAAAAAAAGAAATAATTTCTATGGAATCACTACATTAAAAAAGCATTTATTTCTGGGGATAATCTAGGTTAAGTGAAGTTAGAGAAGTGGATGAGATTTAGACATGAGCCTGTACATTTCAATCACGGATATAAGTTATAAATATGTAAAAATGATTTTCATGAATGACTTTTAAAACCACTTTTGGCCGGGTGCCGGTGACTCACAACTGTAATCCCAGCACTTTGTGAGGCCCAGGAGGGCAGATCAGAAGGTCAAGAGTTTGAGACCACCCTGGCCAGCATACTGAAACCCCATCAGTATTAAAAATACGAAAAATTAGCTGGGTGGGGTTGCAGGCGCCTATAATCCCAGCTATTTGGGAGGCTGAGGCAGGAGATTCGCCTAAACCCTAGAGGCGGAGGTTGCAGTGAGGCGAGATTGCACCACTGCACTCCAGCCTGGGCAACAGAGCAAGACTCCATCTCAAAAAAACAAAAACAAAAACAAAAACAAACAAACCAAAAACACTTTTAAATTCCAAATACTGATGCATGCATTATTTGAATGTGTTATTTCATCGCTTAAAGTAAGCAATGAAATGCATACTTTAACTACATTACATACTATGTAGGTGAAATTGGTGGTAAGGTATTAGTATAACTAAAACTTTATTTTCTTTATTCTTTTTTTTTTTTTTTGAGACAGAGTTTTGCTCTTGTTGCCCAGGCTGGAGTGCAGTGGCGTGATCTCGGCTCACTGCAACCTCCGCCTCCCGTGTTCAAGTGATTCTCCTGCCTCAGCCTCCCAAGTAGCTGAGGTTACAGGCACCTGCCACCAAGTCTGGCTACTTTTTTGTATTTTTAGTATAGATGGGGTCTCATCATGTTGGCCAGGGTGGTCTCGAACTCCTGATCTCAGGTGATCCACCTGCCTCGGCTTCCCAAAATGCTGGGATTACAGGCATAAGTCACTGCGCCTGGCCATAGAACTTTCAATAGTTATCAACTTGTGTACCTCACAAATAATTGGTAAGGTCTATCTAACTTTTCTAAAATATTCCATATACTGCACACAATGCATAAAACAATCACACACATTGGAGAGAAACACATTATTCATATTCATATTTTAACAGATATGCAGAGCTATTCTGATTTGTTAACGACAAACTCTTCCATGATTTCTGATTCTGCTGATCTATGTTATGATATAGGGTTTTATCTCTGGTACATCAGGGCAAAATAACAAGTTTTATATAAATATAAATGGTCAATTACTTTGTGTTATATTATTTGAATTTAGAAGTTTGGTTAGTTTTTACTCTAGAGAACATTTGTATTCTTATTTGTTGCTTTTACTTTTAGGTGTTTTAAACAATTTTTATTTATTCCTGATTTTACTGTGCAAGGTTGTTTAGAAGATCCATTGAATGATATATCACCATAGTCATTTTGAAGAAATTATTTATACATTAATGTTTTTTTTCTGTAAATTTTAGCATGTTTGTAGAATTGGAGATAGGAATGTTATGCAGTTGTATATTTGTTTAAGTTTGTTGAGTTTAGGTTTGTTTTTCACTTATTGAATTTGCATACTATGTTGTCATACATGTAATTTTTGTATTCTGGGATAAATTCTCCTAAATATAGTGAGAAGGAGGTATATCTCCATACCTGAGACAACCCACACATCCGTCTGCATGTGTTACTATTTAGGTAGGAGCAGGTAAAACAGGAGACTCAAAAACACTTCTCTGACTGGGGGTGGTGGCTCACGTCTGTAACCCCAGCACTTTGGGAGGCCCAGGCAGTCAGATTACTTTAGGTCAGGAGTTCGAGACCAGCCTGGCCAGCATGGTGAAACCCCATCTCTACTAAAAATAGAAAAAAAAATAGCCAGGCATGGTGGCACATGCCTCTAATTCCTGCCTGGGGACAGAGCAAGCTTCTGTGTCAAAAAAAAAAAAAAAATCTCTATAAAGTACTGCCTGCAGTATTTGTCATTTCATCTCCTTCCAGTTAATGTCAGTATTCTTCTTTGGTTCAACTGTTTTTGACATCAAGTCTTTATCCAAATGCATTGAGGGGAACAACACACACTGAAGCCTTTCAGAGGGTGGAGCGTGAGAGGAGGAAGAGGATCAGGAAAAATAACTAATGGGTACTAGGCTTAATACCTGGGTGATGAAATAATCTGTACAACAAACCGCCATGATGTAGGCTTACCTATGTAACAAACCTGCACTCGTACCCACGAACTTAATAGTTAAAAATAAATAAATAAATAAATAAATAAAATTTTCGAATGCAGATATATTTTAAATATTTTATTATCAGTAATTGAAATAGAGTAAACTGTTAACAATTTTATTTCCAAACATTACACTGCCCTTTTGTTTTATTTATACTGAAAAATAAAATAACCATTTTAATAGTTTCCCAGAAAGGTTAGAAAATATATATCAGAATAAATGTATGTATAGTGATTTTGAGAATTAATAAAGCAGATAACACAACCTTATTTATATTTATTTCAGCCATTAGTCTTTATATGATAATTCCATTCAATTAAAAAATTATCACCACTCCCTCTTTTCTCTCAGGTTAGTTAAATACCAATGTCTCCAATTGGGCAAAAAAACAAACAAAAAGCCATATATGTTTTATAAAACATGGACAAACAACTATGGTTTACTTTCACAAACTATTGCATCACAACAAAGTGTTATAAAGATATGAATAATGTACATAGAAAAATCTGATTCAATAGACATCAGCTATCACAGACATTATATAATTTAATCAATGCAAGTTCTACTATTATTGAAAGCACATACAGATTTTTAAATATAATCAACTCTTTAATTGTCTAATATCATCTGATACTTATTTTGTCTTTAAATTTCTCAGATTATTTGTAAATGTGAGTTTTTGTTAAAGTTAGCTTGTTCAAATTTGAATATTGAGTCTTATTACATTTGGCTAACATGTTCCTTAATTTTCTTTTTACCTATACTATGTCCCTCTTTTCCATTTACTGCTTTTTTTTTTTTTTTTTTTTTTTGAGACAGAGTCTCTCTCTGTCACCCAGGCTGGAGTGCAATGGCATGATCTTGGATCACTGCAACCTCCCTCTCCCGGGTTCAAGCAGTTCTTCTGCCTCAGCCTCCTGAGTAGCTGGGGTTACAGGCGCATGCCACCACGCCCAGCTGATCTTTGTATTTTTAGTAGAGGCAAGGTTTCAACATGTTGGTCAAGCTGGTCTCAAACTCCTGACCTCATGATCTTCCCTCCTTGGCCTCCCAAAGTGCTGAGATTACAGGCATGTGCCACCACATCTGGCTAATTTTTGTACTTTTAGTAGAGACGGGGTTTCACCACGTTGGCTAGGCTGGTCTCGAACTCCTGACCTCAGGTGATCCGCCCGCCTCGGCCTCCCAAAGTGCTAGGATTACAGGCGTGAGCCACCACGCCTGGCCTTACTAACCTTTTTAATGCCAGATTTTTTGTAAAAAAAAAAGTCATATGTATTACATTAAAACAAAATTTAGACTGTTAAAGATAATCAATTTCTCTGCCTAAAACATGCTACTTAAAATGAATGATATTCTTCTCTTACTCAAATCTTCATATTTTTCTAAGATTGTGTCAAGTTGTCTGATAAGTGCATTTTCCATCACTACATTGATATTTGTGATACTTTAAAGTAAACACACAGGATTTCATGGTATTTTTTAAATCAATTATATTGAAAATTATAATACTAATTTCAAAAAACATAAGTAATTTAGAATTTTGTATGCATTCCTTTGTAATTTTTAATATATTTCAAAAGTATTTCCCATTTTTGGAAGATATATGTCAATTGGAGAATCTACAGTTTAGTTTTATTCTGTAGATTTAATTTTTCAATGGAAATTTTATCAGCATACTTCATAGGTTCAATACACTTACCATCCTAAAACACTGAGTATGGATTTTGGTAACTTGTTTTTAGAAGACCACATTAGGCTGCATGAATATAAACTGGGGTTCAATTTAAGAGACACTTTCAGGGTACATTAACGTAATCTATTTCTAAATTTCAGGGTACTCTTCTGCAGTATTTTAGTATATAGACCAACATCTGCTATTTCTGTGCACAATCATAAAACTAAACAAACAATTCAATGCTGTTTAAAGCTGCACCTCAGACTTTAATATATTTTTCTATGTACAGAATTATAAAGTATTAGAAGTTAGAGAAGGAAAAGAACTTCTAGGTTATTTTATTTCTCTCTATTTCAATATGAGATTGTTCCTGGCAATATATTCTTAACTATTCTTTATAAGAGAGATTTTAAATGATTCAAGTGAGAGAGCTTCTGTTACTTCCCGTGAGATACCATTCAGCAATCTAACACGCTTCAATAAAAACCTATTTCACATTCTCACTTAGGTTTTCATCTCTTCCCTTTTGCTACACTTTGTTGAGTTTGGTGTTGGAAAGCTGCTTTGTCATGTCATCCTTCAGATTTGAGCATCTCTGCTGCTATACAACTTTTTAAATTCAAGAAAAAGAAAAATAATATTTTAATAATTAAGAAAGCACATTACATCATAACATGTTGAATGATACTGTACAAATACATTTAAAACATGATTGCAATATAACGTCAATAAGACATTCAATGCTTTAGTGGCATACTTATCATGTGCATTTCCTAATCTAATGTCACATGCCTGATTTAGAGAAGAGTCATGAAAAGCATGCTGGGCCAGTCTTATCTTCTAAAACAAAGTGGCGATTTGTCCAAAATCAGCGTAACCAATATACCAATTGAATTTATATTTCTGCATTGCTGAAACTCTGAAAAATGAAAGCTTTGAAAAACCTCGGAAAAATAAAAACATAAACAGGCAATGAAAGAGGGCTTGATGAATAAGATCCCTTTGGTTGAGAAAATTTACACTGAACTAACCCTCTCTATGAAGTAGTTGCACAATGTTGAGTGTTTTACAAATGTGCACACACATAATCATCCCAAATATCAAATTATCCTTTCAGGACAGCCTAAAGTGACCCTTCACATTAGTAAATGTTTTCTCCTAAGGAGAAAACATTTTATTCTAGCCTAGAAAAACCAAAGTATGCACGACAGAAGAATCAGGGAAAAATCACACTTTGAATTTTTTTTTCAAAGTAATGTAGCTATACTAACATTAGATACATTTTCTTTAGACCTTTTTTCTAGGGTAATAAGAATCCTTCTAAGATTATCAACCTATTTTAAACATTTAAATGTTCTGATGACAGAATGCTTTGGTAAACAAGTAATTTGCTCTCCACCTCCCACTGTTTTTCAATGAAAATATTGAATAACAATATTTTCAACCTATGTCTTTGGCATTTAGTTCCACTCAGTACAAGTCTGGGAGATAATTAGATAGATAGATAGATAGATAGATAGATAGATAGATAGATAGATAGATTAGATAAATAGATAAGATCGACAAACCACAGGATCAGCAAAATATATATACACATACATATGTATATACAACACATAATTTTAAAGACAAAAATTTCAGTATCCCTTATCGTAATTAGTAATATTTGTGTTTTTAAAATACATTAAAATTAATATTTTGACCAAGTTTTTTCCTCACTGTATCTAAATAAAGATGTATTTTGTCCAGAAAACATTGAATTGGAAGCTAGAATGACTAGGTTTACGTTCTAATTCTGCTGGCTATTCATGTTCCAGATACTAATTGCTTTGTTATCTCATATCCAAAATGAGACACTTAAGCTGAATATCCACTAAATTTTCTATCACTCTAATTGTCATTGCTTATAATTGTTTTTGTTGCTGTTTTTTAAATACACGTGATTTAACGAGTGTTTTAGTAACTGCAATTTGTCTATTTAGAGTAGTTTGAAGTACTTTGTTTCTTACCATTCTCCAGGAGGATTCTTTTGTTTATGATATAAGTTATGTTTCCTCTATTGAATTCTTGTATGCTGAAAAGCTGTAACAACCTCTCAGTCATTTGCATTTATATAACACACCCCTTGTTCACTTTAAAGTGCTTTACAGATCAGAACAAATTAAGAAACACCAGCTCAAATCAATGTGTTTAATTTGGATTTAAATTTTAACAAGGACTACAATAATTTAATTCTGAGAAGAATAAAATGAGAAGAATTGAATATTGGCTGTGATTATACAAACTCTTTTCTATTATATAACTAACCCATTTCTCAGCATAAGGCATTTAAAATTGAAGTAAAGAAAAAAATAGGACACTTAGAATTGTCAAACATGTAACTTTGTACTGAGGAACTAGAAACACTCCAATTTATCTGTCGTTGTGTTAATATTCCAGAGAAAGTATTGCCAAATGGGAAAGTTGAGGCATGGCATGCAAAATATAGGATCATATTGCAGGTTTTACTAGTATCAATATTGGAATAAGGACCACTCTTGTCAGTATTATATCAAATCTGTGTAAAGTGTTCTTTCAGCTAAGCACATCAAAGCTTCCTGACAAACTTGTGGATAGTGTTTAGCTTTATTTTTACAGATGCAGATTTTCTTTATGCCAGGCCTTCACTCTGAGATTTGTATTTCTGTAAGTGGAGCTGGGAGAAAAAAACAAAAGCTAAGGAGGGTGATAATGAAGTAGCATATATCCACCTTTGCAGAAACTAAGAAGGTATGGCCTAGAAGATAGGAATCAGTGATTCTAACAATGTAGCTGTTCATTTTGAATTCTTTTCTGCCATTTCATATTCTTCTTATTGATAGTTTATTGAAATCCTTATCTCACTTTTTAATAAACTCAGTTAAAATATTTCTATAAATTACATCTAACTTAGAGAAACAGTATTCATGTGAATTTTTGAAAACTAATATGTAACTAAAATCACCTGATCAACTACTGAGAAAAATATAGTAGTAATGTCATTATTTTGTCATCCTGTTTTACCCATCTACTTGTTTACAGTTAGCAATTCATCGCTTCTTAGCTGATGTTTTACAAAGACAATAACACCATCTTCTAGTCACTGATTGCCTGTATCTCTGTGAATATATTCCTTAGTCATTTAATCTTCTTTTGCAATACAGTTATAATTCTTATGACTTCATAGAATTGTATCAAAAGTAGATATATGAAAATAATATTTTATTTTCTATCACATATTTCCGTATTAGTTTTTCTAAAATATGAATTGATGGCTAGCTTTTGAAATATGTTTAATTGTCTGCTTAGCAAAACTTATTAAAAAAGAACTATGGCAAATAGGATGAATACATTTTAGGATTTGGGAAAGATAAGAAATATCTTCTCCAGAGAAAATGTTAACACACATATATAAATGGAACAAATGCATTGATGCTATGAATGCTCTTTTTATTTTAATTTTCCTACAAGAAGATGATGTGATAAATTCTATTAAAATATTTTATAATTTTAATTATTATATTGTTGCTGTAATAAACTAGCCTAGACCATTGCAGATAGTGACAAATATAGTCTGATTAAGTTATCTATTATTTTATTTCCCATTCACAGTAATATCCCCATTTGAAACAGATGTACAGATTTTTTTTTAGTCCAGCATTGAAATTTGGGCTATGATTGCATCATAACCTCTTTTGGGTACATTTTCCCTTTTCAGGTTTTAAAAAATAGAATAGATTTTATCACAGCACTTTAAACCTAATTAAAAACAACATGAAAATTGACGTTTTATTACATTGAAGTTTTTTTCTACGTCTTTCATTCTTATTGGTTTAATAAAAGTTTTACTACTCACCTTTTCAGTCAATTTTAATGCACACTTTTCAAAAAAATTATTTTTTCCATAGAATTACATGTAAATTTCAATTTTTCCATAAATTTTTGGGGGGTAGATATTTTTGTCATTTTTTAAAATTATAATTTAAGCTCTGGGATACATGTGCAGAACGTGCAAGTTTGTTACATAGGTACACATGTGCCATGGTGGTTTGCTGCACCCATCAACCTGTCACCTGCATTAGGTATTTCTCCTATTGCTCTCCCTCCACTGACCCCTCAGTCCTGACATGCCCCAGTGTGTGACGTTCCCTTTCCTGTGTCCTTGTGTTCTCATTGTTCAGCTGTCAATTATGAGTGAGAACATGCAGTGTTTGGATTTCTGTTCCTGTGTTAGTTTTGAGAATGATGGCTTCCAGCTTCAACCATGTCTCTGCAAAGGACATGAACTCATCTTTTTTTATGGTTGCTAAGTATTCCATGGTGTACATGTGCCACATTTACTTTATCCAGTCTATCATTAATGTGCATTTAGGTTGGTTCCAAGTCTTTGCTATTGTGAACAGTGCCACAATAAACATACTTGTGCATGTGTCTTTATAGTACAATGATTTAAAATCCTTTGGGTATATACCCAGTAATGGGATTGCTGGGTCAAATGGTATTTCTGGTTCTAGATCCTTGAGGAATTGTCACACTGTTTTCCACAATGGTTGAACTGATTTGCACTCCCAACAGTGTAAAGCGTTCCTGTTTCTCCACATCCTCTCCAGCATCTGTTGTTTCCTGACTTTTTAATGATCACCATTCTAACTGGCATGAGATGATATCTCATGGAGATTTGCATTTCTCCAATGACCAGTGATGATGTGCTTTTTTTCATGTTTGTTGGCTGCATAAATGTCTTCTTTTGAGAAGTGTCTGCTCATATCCTTTGCCCAGTTTTTGATGGGGTTGTTTATTTTCTTGTAAATTTGTTTAAGTTCTTTGTAGATTTTGGATATTAGCCCTTTGTCAGATGGATAGATTGCAAAAATTTTCTCCCATTCTGTAGGTTGCTTGTTCACTCTGATGGTGGTTTCTTTTGCTGTGCAGAAGCTCTTTAGTTTAATTGTATCCCATTTGTCAGTCTTGGCTTTGTTGCCATTGCTTTTGGTATTATAGTCATGAAGTCTTTGTCCATGTCTTTGTCCTGAATGTTATTGCCTAGGTTTTCTCCTAGGATTTTTGTGGTTTTAGGTCTTACGTTTAAGTCTTTAATCCATCTTGAGTTAATTTTTGGATAAGGGGTCAGGAAGGGGTCCAGTTTCAGTTTTATACTTAGGGCTAGCCAGTTTTCCCAACACCATTTATTAAATAGAGAATCCTTTCCTCATTGCTTATTTTTGTCAGAGTTGTCAAAGATCAGATGGTTGTAGATGTTTGATGTTATTTCAGAGGCGCCCGTTCTGTTCCATTGGTCCATATATCTGTTTTGGTTACTGTAGCCTTGTAGTATAGTTTGAAATCAGGTAGTGTGATGCCTCCAGCTTCATTGTTTTTGCTTAGGATTGTCTTGGCTATGTGGGCTCTTTTTTGGTTCCATGTGAAATTTAAAGTAGTTTTTTCTAATTCTGTGAAGAAAGTCAGTGGTAGCTTGATGGGGATAGCATTGAATCTATGAATTGCTTTGGGCAGTATGGCCATTTTCATGATATTGATTCTTCCTATCCATGAGCATGGAATGTTTTTCCATTTATTTGTGCCCCCTCTTATTTCCTTGAGCAGTGGTTTGTAGTTCTCCTTGAAGAGGTCCTCACATCCCTTGTAAGTTGTATTCCTAGGTATTTTATTTTCTTTGTAGCAATAGTGAATGCGAGTTCACTCATGATTTGGCTCTCTGTTTGTCTGTTATTTGTGTATGGGGATGCTTGTGATTTTTGCACATTGATTTTGTATCTCGAGACTTTACTGAAATTGCTTATCAGCCTAAGGAGAATCCTAAGGAGAAGGCTAAGGAGGTTTTGGGCTCAGACAATGGTTTTTTCTGAATATACAATCATGTCATCTGCAAAGAGAGACAATTTGACTTCCTCTCTTCCTATTCGAATGCCCTCTATTTCTTTCTCTTGCCTGATTGCTCTGGCTAGAACTTCCCATACTATGTTGAATACAAGTGGTGAGAGAGGGCATCCTTGTTTTTTGCTGCTTTTCAAAGGGAATACTTCCAATTTTTGCTCATTCAGTATGATATTGGTTGTTGGTTTGTCATAAATAGCTCTTAATATTTTGAGATATGTTCCATCAATACTTAGTTTATTGAGGGTTTTTAGCATGAATTGGTGTTGAATTTTGTCAAAGGCCTTTTCTGCATATATTGAGATAATCATGTGGTTTTTGTCTTTGGTTCTGTTTATGTGATGGATTACATTTATTGATTTGCATATGTTGGGCCAGCCTTGCATTCCACAGATGAAGCCAATTTGATCTTGGTGGATAAGCTTTTTGATGTGCTGCTGGATTCGGTTTGCCAGTATTTTATTGAGGATTTTCACCTTGATGTTCATCAGGGATATAAGTCTGAAATTTTATTTTTTTTGTTGTGTCTCTGCCAAGTTTTCATATCAGGATGATGCTGGCCTCATAAAATGAGTTAGGGTTGAGTCCCTCTTTTTCTATTGTTTGGAATAGTTTCAGAAGGATTGGTATCACACCCTGTTTATACCTGTAGTAGAATTTGGCTGTGAATTCTTCTGGTCTTGGGCTTTTTCTGGTTGGTAGGCTATTAATTACTGCCTCAATTTCAGAACTTGTTATTGGTCTATTCAGGGATTTGACTTCTTCCTGGTTTAGTCTTGGGAGTCTGTATATGTCCAGGAATTTATCCATTTCTTCTAGATTTTCTAGTTTATTTGCATAATGGTGTTTATAGTATTCTCTGATGGTAGTTTGTATTTCTGTGGGATCTGTGGTGGTATCCCCCTTATCATTTTTTTTTAATGTGGCTATTGATTCTTCTCTCTTTTCTTTTTTATTAGTCTGGCTAGAGGTCTATCTACTTTGTTAATCTTTTCAAAAAACCAGTTCCCAGATTCATTGATTTTTTTTGAAGGGTTTTTTGTGTCTCTACCTCCCTCAGTTTTTCTGTGATCTTAGTTATTTCTTGTCTTCTGCTAGCTTTTGAATTTGTTTGCTCTTCCTTCTCTAGTTCTTTTAATTTTGATGTTAGGGTGTCGATTTTAGATCTTTCTTGCTTTCTCCTGTGGGTATTTAATACTATAAATTTTCCTCTAAACACTGCTTTAGCCATGACCCAGAGATTCTGGTACATTGTGTCTTTGTTCTCATTGGTTTCCAAGAACTTATTCATTTCAGCCTTCATTTCGTTATTTTTCCCAGTAGTCATTCAGGAATAGGTTGTTCAGTTTCTATGTATTTGTGTGGTTTTGAGTGAGTTTCTTAATCCTGAGTTCTAATTTGATTACAACTGTGGTCTGAGAGACTGTTTGTCATGACTTTCGTTCTTTTGCATTTGCTGAGTAGAGTTTTACTTCCAAATATGTGGTCAATTTTAGAATAAGTGTGATGTGGTGCTGAGAAGAATGTATATTCTGTTTATTTGGGGTGGAGACTTCTGTAGGTATCTACTAGGTCCACTTGGTCCAGAGCTGAGTTCAAATCCTGAATATCCTTGGTAATTTTCTCTCTCATTGATCTGTCTAATATTGACAGTGGGGTGTTAAAGTCTCCCACTATTATTGTGTAGGAGCCTAAGTCTCTTTGTAGGTCTCTACCAACTTGCTTTATAAATCTGTGTGCTCCTGTATTGGGTGCATTTACATTTAGGATAGTTATCTCTTCTTGTTGCATTAATACCTTTACCATTATGTAATACCACTCTTTGTCTTTGTTGATCTTTGTTGGTTTAGATCTGTTTTATAGAGACTAGGATTACAACCCCTGCTGTTTTTTCTTTCCATTTGCTTAGTAAATATTCTTCCGTCCCTTTATTTGGAGCCTATATATGTCTTTGCATGTGAGATGGGTCTTCTGAATACAGCACACAGACGGGTCTTGACTCTTTATCCTATTTGCCAGTCTGTGTCTTTTAATTAGGGCATTTAGTCTATTTCCATTAAGGTTAATATTGTTATGTGTGAATTTGATTCTCTCATTATGATGTTAGCTGGTTATTTTGCTCGTTAGTTGATGCAGTTTCTTCATAGCATTGATGGTCTTTACTATTTGGTATGTTTTTGCAGTGGCTGGTACCAGTTTTTCCTTTTCATGTTTAGTGCTTCCTTCAGGAGCTCTTATAAGGCAGGCCTGTTGGTGACAAAATCTCTCAGGATTTGATTGTCTGTAAAGGATTTTATTTCTCCTTCACTTATGAAGCTTATTTTGGCTGGATATGAAATTCTGGGTTGAAAACTCTTTTCTTGAGGAATGTTGAATATTGGCCCCCACTCTCTTCTGGCTTGTAGGGTTTCTGCAGAGAGTTCTGCTGTTTGTCTAATGGGCTTCCCTTTGTGGGTAACCCGATCTTTCTTACCTGCTGCCCTTAACATTTTTTCCTTCATGTCAACCTTGGTGAATCTGACGATTATGTGTCTTGGGGTTGCTCTTCTCGAGGAGTATCTTTGTAATATTCTCTGTATTTCCTGAATTTGAGTGTTGGCCTTTCTTGCTAGGTTGGGGAGATTCTCCTGGGTGATATCCTGAAGAGTATTTACCAGCTTGTTTCCATTCCTCTGACACTTTCAGGTGCACCAATCAAAGATACATAGTCCCGTATTTCTTGGAGGCTTTGTTCATTCTTTTTCATTCTTTTTCCTATAATCTTTCCTTCACACTTTATTTTGTTAAATTGATTTTCAATCTCTGATATCCTTTCTTCTGCTTGACCAGTTCAGCTATTGATACTTGTGTATGCTTCACGAAGTTCGCTTGCTATGTTTCTCAGCTCCGTCAGGTCATTTATATTCTTCTCTAAACTAGTTATTCTAGTTAGCAGTTCCTCTGTCCTTTTTCCAAGGTTCTTAGCTTCCTTAAATTTATTATTAAATAGCTGCATAAGTGTCTAATCTAGCAGAAAAATATACAGAAATCAAAATTAACCAGGACTGACCAGGGATTGCTTCCATCCATGATTAAAAAGTAATCATAAGTCATTTTAGCACATTATATAATTTTGGAAACACAAATGACAGTTTCTTGTTCAGGTATTCTAAGTTTCCAATGCTCTTGGAAGTTGAATTGTCAATTTAACTCTATCATATGCTATTTGTAATAAAGTATGTGTTTTTTTGTATAAAAACATGTATTTGCTATGTTACATGTGCTTGATACTATATTTTGCTTATTTCAAACAGAAAATATATTTGAAACTTGGTTCAATTAAAATCACTGAGCATATATAAATATGTCTTTTACTTTTTCTGTGTTTTTGAATGGTATACAATATTTCATAGTCTTGGAACATCTAACAAAGACAGATTTAATTCCTTAAAGAGAAAATACGATATCTGAAAGGCGAATTATATTCTATATGTTGCATTACTATTTTAATTTCTCCACATATTTTTCATGGATTTATTTTATATGATCTTAAGTTTTCATTAAAAATTATAAAACTGTAAGCAATAAATACTAAAAATGAATTACTTTAAAATATTGTCTTCAAAGCAAAAATATATCATTAAAGATATAGAGAAAACATTGCTACAAATTTTATGTAAATCATTGAAATTCATTATTACTCAGTATTGTTAAAGTAGACTGGATTTTCTTAGCATTAGTATCTTCTAAAAATATACTGGTATGATCCTCAACATTTTTATTATTTGGCGTATACTATAGCATTATTAAATTTTAAATTTTGCCCTAAAAATCTCTATTTTTAAATAATTCAGTTTTATTAATTTATTTTTTATATGATTCTTTTCCTTTTTATTCCTTTTTGTAGGGGTATAGTCTTTCTTGCTTTTTTAGCTAATTATTTATTGTGTATTTTTTCTTTGTTATTTAGTAATACTAAGAATTAAGTCTGTGAATTTTTATCTGAGCACTTCTTTCGTAATACGTCGTATATATAACTAAAACCCTTTGGTTCTTTATTTCTTTCAGCAAGGATGCCTTCTTTCTACCACTCTCTTCTCTGAAACAAGAAGGCATACGGGTTTACTATTTAACCAGGAAATTATTCAATAGAGCAATTGTTTTACTCCCTGAAAATTAAAATACCCTAATTTTATTCAAATTCTCTTTCTACGTTTCTTTTATTTCCCAAACAGGGTCATAACTTAACTTTCAAAACTTTATGGACAATGTTATTATGCTAAGAAACCAAGTCCTTTTTCACATATGCAAGGGTTTGAAAATAAAACTTATTACTGAAAGGTACTACATCTATGTGTAAATTTTTGTGCTTGATTACAATGAGGAACTATAGACCAGGAGAAAGTCAGAGAGGTGAAAGGTAGTCCCAATACAGTTTGATGTGTATTATTTAAAAAACCTTGATTTTAGTCCATCACACTTAGAGAGAAATCGCATTTTCTAATTCTAAACTTAATGCATATGAAGACACAAAGAAAGAAAGATATAAAAAGTTTCATTAGTATTGTTTCTGTTGTCTTCAATGCTTCATTATTTTATTGATTTTGTTTATTTTCTGTGTAAAGTGAGAGAGTATAGTGGGAGTAAACTGGTCAACTTTTTAAATTGCTTCTATGTATTTTCCTTGTAAAGCATATATTTTTGAGTTAAAATCTCATTGCAATCCTGTAATCCCAGCACTTTGAGAGGCCGAGGTGGGCAGATCACTTGAGGCCAGGAGTTCGAGACCAGCCCCGTCAACTTGGTGAAACCCCGTCTTTATTAAAAATACAAAAATTAGCTGGGCATGGTGGTGGGCGCCTGTGATCCCAGCTACTCTGAGGCATGAGAATCACTTGGACCCTGGAGGCAGAGGTTGCAATGAGCAACTCTATCTCAAAAAGAAAAAAAATTGCAATTTAAAGCCAGATTAAGAAGCTAGATTTTATTCTTTGCATATGGACAGAAAAGAAAGTAAAATCTTCTTAATGAACATATGTTCTTAGTGCAACTATATTAAGAAAATAAATTTGTTCTTAGTTTACATATACTGAAACTGTGACTTCCTATTATGTTCATTATAATTTCATAAAATCTCTAGTTTAGTTTATTCTCAATTGAGTATAATTACTTTAACCTTTATTAGGGCTTAGAAATTTGTGATTTATTATTTTTTAAAATAGAAAGGGATACAAGATAGGAAAATATTCTGAAAAAATGAGCCAGAGAGAAATCTAAATCAAGCCAAATCTGTCTCTATACAGAATATATGGCAAATATTCCAAGAATGAAACAAAATAAAAGTAACCTGACCATTTACGAAGTTTCAAGTTCATATTGCTCTATTATGTGAATTGCCTCTCCACACTGATTCATATCATTGGTCTGCTTCTTGTAACTTCTCTTGTTTTTGCCTGGGAAGATACAGTTTTTCTCTATGCTAAAGCAAATTCCTACCTAGGCAAACAAAAATAAACAACAACAACAAAAGACAAAGTTATATTTTAAAATGTAGAATAATGAACTATCCTTTTGAAGAGGCACCCAACTGAGAATAATATATACATATATATACATGTATATATATATGTATATATGTATATATGTGTGTATATATATATGTGTATATATATGTGTATATATACGTATATATATACACGTATATATATATGTGTATATATACACGTATATATATACGCACACACACATTTTTTGAAGTTTCAGCTCTGCACTGTCTTTAAGAAGGTCAAATATATGGATTCATCTTGTCTCAACAAATTTCGCTGTTGCTTTTTGCTTTTTAACAGCCTCAGATTTTTAAACAACAATTTTTTTTACCAGTTTAGATTACCATAATACCAAACAAATATTTCATTCAGTGTGACAAATAATATCAACCACTACAGACTGGAAAACTATATATTATTTGTAAGAACAAAATACTATAAAGACATATTTCATCAATTTCTCTTAGAACAGGCAAGCATCTTGTAGCCTAACTTTATTTTGATGACTCTGTGTAAGTGTTAGCAATTCAATTGATTTCCCACCACCTTTATTGAGTACCTACAATATACAGGAGTGGAAAGTTTTATTTTAAAAAAGTAGAATGACATATAGGTCTTTCTTTGTAGATCTATAGTTGGTGAATTGAAATGTTCCACTTAGCATAGTTACTACATATATATGCATAGAAGTTTCCATTAAAAATGTTAGAAAAGTTCAATTCAAAATTTCATAAGTGAAAATAATTATATATATACACACATAGATAATTATATTTATTATAATTTTTTACAAATTTTAAAATAAAATTTAGATTGGAGACTACTTAAAGAGAAAACTATTCAATGATGTGTTAAAACAAGGTAAGACACACTTTATTCAGATGATTGTGATGGGTATAGAGATCACTATAATGGGATTTTATAATGGGAGAGAGAGATGGGCAAGTAAGAATTTATAGCCGTTGAGTGTGGTGGGGATCGGTAGATGGAAAATTACTAAGAAGAAGCATCATGGATAAGGGGGATTCTGGCAAAATCAACCAAGCAGAATTCTTGCTGAAAGCAGATAATATCACACAACGGGTGGTGGAGAATATGGAACCTGATGAGATACAAAGGATGATAACATACTGGCAGGGATAGGGGTAGTTATTGCTAAATTGAATTAACAGCATTCTTGCTAAAATTAGATTTTATAAGGAAATGCAGAATTGGGCCTAAAAGAAGTTTCAGGAGCCTGACCAAAGTTTGGTCAAACAAAGCATCTTTGTCAAAACACCTAATTATTTTAATACTTAGCTTGCTTGCTTGCTTTTTTTTTTTTTTTTTTTTTTTGAGACTGAGTCTCGCTTTCGTTGCCCAGGCTGGAGTGCAGTGGCACTATGTGGCTCACTGCAACCTTCGCCTCCCAGGTTCAGCCTCCCGAGTAGCTGGGATTAAAGCCGCCCACCACCACACCCAGCTAATTTTTGTATTTTTT
This sequence comes from Homo sapiens, assembly GCF_000001405.40. NCBI lineage: Eukaryota > Metazoa > Chordata > Mammalia > Primates > Hominidae > Homo > Homo sapiens. The sequence goes on along the minus strand of NC_000003.12, from coordinate 83,103,664 downwards.
CGTAAAGATGGAGTTTCACCATCTTGGCCAGGCTGGTCTTGAACTCCTGACCTCAAGCGATCCACCTGCCTCTGCCTCCCAAAGTGCTGGGATTATGGGCGTGAGTCACCGCGCCTGGCAATACTTAGCTTTATTTCTGATGATGACTTTCTTGTCTGCTAATTATTAGGCTTGGAACTATTTTTTATTTCTTAAATTCAAAATAAATTAAGTAGAGAATATGTTTAAATTATCCTAATTAGTTAAATAAGACTTATCAAGCTATGTGTGAGTATATGTAATATTATAAATTCAAGTTATGTAAGTTCACATATGAAGCAAAAGTACTACAACAACAACAACTTGCCAAGAAGAATATTCAAAAAAACATATTATTTGGGAGTCCTCACATGAATGGAGTGGTGTATCATTATTCCACTATCAGGTGTCTTGTGTAATTTTATTGTTATTCATGTTTCCCCAAAAGTCAGCCCTTCTCCATTACCTATCCGCGTAATCCAAGCAGGTAAAACCGGAGATTCTGAAAAAAGACTTTGCATCTTTTAACTCTTAAAAGTCACTGCCTAGGTTTTATTGGTTCTTTAAATAATATTAGATTGTGTGTTATTACTTTAGATCTCTGTCCATAGTCTCTAATTTTCTATTTCGTATGTTGAAAGCCTAAATTTTCTAATTATGGTTACTTGAATTTGACATGGAATAATAATGATAACATATTTTTCTCACTTGCTTCTGAAAATCACTAAAGGTATTGCTAATAGTTGCTAATAATAGCTTCAATCTAGGCCAAAAATGATTATTTATGGACAGTATTAAATTATAGATTACTGAAGCTGAAAAAATGAGGAGCCAGGTAGTGTATTAGCAAAATGTAGAAGAAAATATTGCCATATTACATTTTAGTAGTAGAAACTTTTAAGCAAGAGTAGATTTTTAAACTGTTTTCTTTTATTATTGTGATATACTGTATTCCAAAACATTTTATAACACATGCCACCATTTAAAAAAGATAAGATTTACTGATATTTCAACTGTAAAATCCCCTCTTAAAAATCTGATATATAAAATTGGAATTTATATCTACAAATACACTTTTAAATTCATCAAACCGTGACAATTATATGGAACTTAAAAAACATAATTTTCATAGTTTCATATAAATTATACTTTCCCAATGACCTCAATTTATTTAGGCATTAATCTGTTATTATTTAGTTTATTTCAAAATTCTCTATAATTGGACAATAAGAGAGAAAATATATTACGATATAAATCTTAGGGGTTTTTGAATCTTGTTCTTAGAACTTAAAAAAGTTCAAGATATTTAACACATGCAGGAATTACATATTGGATTTTAAGGACTTTAATTGTGAGATTCAGTTAAAAGTGCATCTTTCTAGTGCATTTTTCTGAATAATTATTTGTTATATCTTTCATGTTGTATCTCATATAATCTAAAATTTTGTTTACTATTTCATGAAATAAAAACTTCAAAAAACCATTGATTTATTAAATTTCTCCACTACTTTGAAATTTAACTTTCACTAATAAAAGAAATTTTGATATGAATTTGAATCTTTTTTCAAACAACTATTATTTATTGTCTTAATTACTGAAGAATGGGAGAATCGATGTGCATGAAACACACAATGTTTGTTCACACAAAGTGAACTATCACTTTGTTCTCCCAGAGTTTCTGACAGGTCTCCTTTTTTTTTTTATTATACTTTAAGTTTTAGGGTACATGTGCACAACGTGCAGGTTTGTTACATATATATACATATGTTTATTTGTTATGTGCAGGTTTGTTACATATATACATATGCATACAACATATGCAGCCATGTTGGTGTGCTGCACCCATTAACTCGTCATTTAACATTAGATATATCTCTTAATGCTATCCCTCCCCCCCTCCCCCCACCCCACAACAGGCCCTGGTGTGTGATGCTCCCCTTCCTGTGTCCATGTGTTCTCATTGTTCAATTCCCACCTATAAGTGAGAACATGCGGTGTTTGGTTTTTTGTCCTTGCGATAGTTTGCCAAGAATGATGGTTTCCAGCTTCAACCATGTCCCTACAAAGGACATGAACTCATCCTTTTTTATGGCTGCATAGTATTCTATGGTGTATATGTGCCACATTTTCTTAATCCAGTCTATCATTGATGGACATTTGGCTTGGTTCCAAGTCTTTGCTATTGTGAATAGTGCCACAATAAACTTACGTGTGCATGTGTCTTTATAGCAGCATGATTTATAATCCTTTCGGTATATACCCAGTAACGGAATGGCTGGGTCAAATGGTGTTTCTAGTTCTAGATCCCTGAGGAATCACCACACTGACTTCCACAATGGTTGAACTAGTTTACAGTCCCACCAACAGTGTAAAAGTGTTCCTATTTCTCCACATCCTCTCCAGCAACTGTTGTTTCCTGACTTTTTAATGATCGCCATTCTAACTGGAGTGAGATGGTATCTCACTGTGGTTTTGATTTGCATTTCTCTGATGGCCAGTGATGATGAGCATTTTTTCATGTGTCTTGTGTCTAATCAAACTAAAGAGCTTCTGCACACCAAAAGAAACTGCCATCAGAATGCACAACTACGGAATGGGAGACCTACAGAACAACCTACAGAATGGGAGAAAATTTTTGCAATCTACTCATCTGACAAAGGGCTAATATCCAGAATCTACACTGAACTCAAACAAATTTACAGGAAAAAAACAAACAACCCCATCAACAAGTGGGTGAAGGATATGAACAGACACTTCTCAAAAGAAGACATTTATGCAGCCAAAAGACACATGAATCTTTTCTTAATCTTTGCATTGTTACATTGGTTGACCTGTGCTTTCTACTATTGCATATTCTCCAGTTTTAGATTATTTTATTGAAATAAATAGTGCTTAAATCAAGGAGTAATGCTTAAAAATTATCAAATGTTTCTAATGTTATTTACAGTTATACATGAAAAAAATCATCTCAGTACTGTGGTTTTTGCAATAGCTCCATTAGCTACTTGGGAATTTTGGCATTGTATTAGCCAGTGTAGTTCAATAATGCTGCTTAATAAACAGCCCCCAAAATCTTAAAAGCTTACAACAATAGCAACAATAAGTAATACTTATTTTTCTTGATTTGTATAGTTTCATTCAACTTCTGTATATATTTTTGTTTGGTTTGTTTGCTTTTTTTTAAATTTTCATCTCCCTTAGGTTTTTTGGGGTTTGTTTGATTATTTGTTTTTCTTTCTTTCATAATTATTCATACTTGAGAAATTATGTATTAATAATAACATATTGGCAAATTGGTGAAGCATTTGTGGATACTTGTTGAAATATTTCAGGTTCACAAGAGGAGAGAATAAAGAGCTCTCCTGAGATTTTCTACAGCTCTACTCTACCAATTCAGGAATATAGAAAATGGCAATATTAAGAATAAATAAAACGCAGTAAAAGAAAATATTATTCTTCCATTCTGAAAGAGCTTCATTCTCACTATGTTTCTGTAGCAATTGCTGGTGCCCTGGTAGTTGCTTTTCAGACACAGCCCCCATAGCTGCTTGTTTGCAGATACAAACTCATGGGCTGGATTTAATCATTCCTTTTATAATATATTAACTGAATTCCATATGAGTTAACATTTAAAAAAAAAATTCTAATATAATCACTTGGTTCATAATTCTTCTTCTCTTTTTACCTTTCTCCTTTCAAGTGATATAATGGTGTTTTGGCAGGTTCTACATGTGTACAGTGATCTTATTTTTTCCCATAAACCAAAGCAGAGTCATGAAGATTGAGGAAAGTGTTGTGTGACATATTAAGTAAGGAATTAGTAGTTAGTTGGTCGTTCGCCTTTTTTGGTTTTGAAGCTTTCAAGATTTTTTTTTTTTGTATTTACTGAATTATTTTAAGTAAGGAATTAGTAGTTATTTGGTCATTCACCTTTTTTGGTTTTGAAGCTTTCAAGATATTTCTTTTTTTGTCCAGACCAGATGTTTTCCATCATCTCTAATTTACTGATTTCTAAGGATATATTAACGCCAGACAGAACAGATTGAAGAAACTCTTCTTTAACCTTCCTGGACTGGACACTAAGTCAATTTAATTTTTTTTTCTGAGTTGCCACATTTAACCAGATGCTTGCTTCTTTATAAAATAAAGGGGATTTCCTCTGATATCACACTTCTGTGCAGTGGTCACAACTGGTATTTCCAATTCTCCTCGTCTGTTCTTTCTTCAGCAGTGAAATAGATCATGCTTATACCCATAGAAGAACATAATACCCATTGTATTAGTCCATTCTCATGCTGCTATGACGAAATACCCGAGACTGGGCAATTTATAAAGGAAAGAGGTTTAACTGAGTCACAGTTCTGCCTGTCTGGGGAGGCCTCGGGAAACTTACAATCATGGTGGAAGACACCTCTTCACAGGGCTGCAGGAAAGTGAATGAGTGCCGATCGAAGGAGGAAGCCCCTGATAAAACCATCAGATCTCGTAAGAACTCACTTACTATCATGAGACTAGCACGGTGAAACTGCCCCCATGTTTCAATTATCTCCTCCTGGTCCCTCCCTTGACATATGGGGATTATTACAATTCAAAGTGAGATTTGGGTAGGGACACAGAGCCAAACTATATTACCCATCTATGTGTAATTCACATTTTAAGAAATGGGAGTAGTATATTATAACTGTTATCGTTAGAATCACTAATGGCTTTCAAATCACTACTACCACTATCATCAGCAAAAGGAAAATTTTAATTATATCCTATACTAAAGATTCTGTTTTTTATGGGTTTCTATTATTTATAGAACTTTGAAGCTTTTGAATATAATTTTATTGACAATTGATTTTATCCTATGGTATTTAACAAGCACAGAGATGCATGGAGAATAATGGTACTAATTTCCCACCCAGTAAGATGAGAATATACAAAATCTCTGCTACTGTTGATCATCCAAAAGTAAAACACAATTTGATTTTTTTGTTATTGTTTCCCAGATTATTTATTTGGCATATCCATATTAAATGGTGTTGATTATTTTATAAATTGGAGTTTTAAGAGCAGGTCAACATGAGCAGGCATATGCTCTCACAATCAAACATTGACCCTAAACTCATCTATATTAATAAGCTTTATTAGTAACATAAACTCAGATAGAGGTTTAGTCTAAATTACAAGCAAAAGGCACACAAACATATACTTATAAAAACAATTTAATGTACTTGTCACCGGTGGTTTTGAGAACGTATTATTCACTTTTTTTTTTACTAAATCACATGCATTTTGAAGCTTTTTACAACATGTAAATACATACAATAAATGTCAACATTGGGAAGGCTTGCTTAATCTAAGTAAGTAATTATGTTCACTTTGAATGGCAATACTTCCTGCAGCATACAATTTAGAATATATTTTACGCCCTCCACAACTGAATAGTTAAGGTTATAGAAGAATAAATATATTGCTCATTATCAGCATGCAACTTCTCCACAAAAATACAAACAAATATCAGAAGTGTGTCTTAAAGTATACTTTTTTTTAATGAATGAACAGGATTATCCAAAGTCTATATGTGTTTTTGAAGTATCCTGAACAGATTCGATGAGAGAAGCATTTGCTCCAGCAAGCAAGGAGCTGAAGCATTTATTCTTCCTGAGTAATCACAGTAGAGGTGGGTTAGGTTTTCTTTACTGGCAATTTATAAAAAATGGTGAAGATACAATAGCCTAATATTAATAAGTCCTATCAAGCCTAAAAAAAAAGAATATTTACTTATTAGTAGATTTCAGAGAAGAAAATCATACATATCTATGAGTCACATACAAGTTTTGATGCCATATATTGTAGGGGGGGTGAGAGATGAGATGAATACAGTTAACTCATAAATATAATTTTATTACAGTTTTAATTTTTTAATAAAAATATCAAGTAGCTTGGTGGCATAGTAACGGATTAGAATGCAGCTGTCAAAAAGAATCTCACCAAATTTTGATATTTCAGGAAATATAAATGAAATGAGAAAATGAGTTGAAAAGCTAATTTAAAAATAATCTTAGTACATCAGATCATAAAATGTATAAAGCCATAATTTTAAACAACAGATTTAAAGTGTTGTGGAGAAAAAGAAATATTACCTTATTTCTTAATATTCTAAAAATTAAAATCAAAGGGAATTTCCAAGTCCAAGTTTCCCATGCTGTTATGGGTGGAATTGTGTCCTTCTCAAAAGTATGTGTTAAAGTCCTAATCCCCAGGATGTGATCTTATTAAGAAATAAGGTCATGGGCCTGACGTGGTGGCTCATGCCTGTAATCCTAGCACTTTGGGAGGTTGAGGCAGGCCTTGAGATTGCCTGAGCTCAGGAGTTTGAGACCATCCTGGGCAACATGGTGAAACCCTGTCTCTACTACAAATCAAAAAAATTAGCCAGGCATGGTGGCATGGGCTTGTAATCTCAGCTACTCAGGAGGCTGAGGCATGAGAATTGCTTGAACCTGGAAGGTGGAGGTCGCAGTGAACCAAGATCATGCCACTGCATTCCAGCCTGGGCAACACAGTGAGACTCTGTCTCAAAAAAAAAAAAAAAAAAAGAAAAGAAAAAAGAAAAGAAAGAAAGAAATAAGGTTATGGGCACATGTAATTACTTAAGATTAGGTCGTACTGGAGTAGGATGGGTCCCTAATCAAATATCACTGATCTTATAACGAAGGAAATTTTGGACACAGAGACACACACAAAGTTTACCATGTAAAGATACAGATAGCCATTTATAAGCCAAGGGTAGAGAACTGGAACAGATTCTTTCTTCACAGCTCTCATAACAGCCAACTCTGTCAATGCCTTGATTTCAGACTTCCAGATTCCAGACTTCTAGATTCCAGAATTGTAAGACAATAAACTTCTGTTTTGTTTTGTTTGTTTTCCAGCCCATTTGTAGTACTTTGTATGACACCCCTAGCAAACTAATACGTATGGCATATTCTAACATTCAAATGACTCTGTACTCACCATCAACTGTTAAACAGATAATCAATAAGTGGGAGTGTGATTTCAAATTATGTCACACATAAAATAACAGAAGAGAGAGAGCAATTGATTTCAAGGTATTGGCTCATGTTGGTGCTGGCAAGTCTGAAATCTGTAGGGCAGACTGACAGCATGGAAACTGAGGCAAGAGTTGAAGTTGCAATCTTCATCCCAAAATCAGTAGGCGAAACTCAGGCAGGATCTTTAGGTTACAGTCTTCTGGTGGAATTACTCCTTCTCTGGGAAACTTCAGTTTTGCTCTGAAGGCTTTCAACTGATTGAATGAGGTCCTCACATATTATTGAGAGTATCTCCTTTACTAGAGGTAAACTGTAAATGTTAATAATCACATGTGCAAAATACTTTGACAGCCACATCTATACCAGAGTCTAACCAAACAACATAGCATAGCCAAGGTGGAACATAAAATTAATAACTATACAGGTTTATCTTGTCCTCCCCTTTGGATGAATCTCAAGCAAGGTCCATTACTCATTCTTAGATAATAACAAAAAAATTTGATTAATGTTAGTTTCATGAACAATTAGTTCAATCATCAAAACTTACAATATATTAATAAAAATTCCAAAGAACATTAATTTTTACAGATGCATCCATTGAAATATTTAAAAATGGTATAGCTTTACTTCCTTCCCTCTGACTCAAAACTCGATTCAAATAATAGTAAAATCTGATCATTCCAAATGTTGTCTCAATTATGGAGCAAGTGGAACACTCATATTTTTCTGCTGAAAGTAAAAATTTATACAAATGTGTTGAAAAAATGATTGAAAATCTGGCAAAGCTATACATAAGACATTTCTGTAACTCAAAAATTTCACAGCCAGGAGCAGTAAATGTCTATGTCTATCAACATTCGCAACACAAATATTCATAACAGATTAATTGATAATGGCCAAACTAAAAATTCACCGTCTTTAGAAAGAATACATAAAATTTGGTGTACCAATTACTCAACTTAAATCAAATGAATAGAAATATACTGAAAGATGAAGGAACCTATGCACTTAGACATATATGTGTATTTACAATATTATTTCATTTATGGAATGTTTAAAAAATGGCCCAAAGTAATTAACAGTCACAGTAAGACTAGGGGTGGTAATTGAGGGGGGTTAGAGGTGTAAGTTCTGGTTGCTACTGTTGTTAAATTCATTAACCTTTGCTGTTTAAAATGTTTGCTAGTTCATGCAGCTGTAAGCTTATGATTTGCCCAATTTTCTGAATAAATTATACTTAAAAGACAAGTATGTTAAAATAATACAAATACACAAGAACAAATAATGAGAATAAAAGATAGTAATTTGAGAACATGAAAAGCAGATGGATGACTGGCACACACAGGTTCTGTGTACTGATTCCTTATTTAAGGAACCTATTTTAGCAGAATATATTTGGATTCTCTGAATTTCTATTGTGGTAGAAAGCGTTAGAAGAATGTTGTGATTAACCATGTTTAAAAACATATTAATCCCCCCAAATAAGTGGCTTCTCTGTGTTACTCTCTACAGGGCATATAAGGTTTAACAGACACAATAAAACCAAAATGTATTTAGATTTGAAGCCTAAAGATTACTCTTTGAAATTATTTTGGATACTGAATTGAGGAAGAACAAGGTAATACTAATTTATTAGACAAGCTTAAACTTCAATTTAATTCCCAGTCATGCCAACGTCATGCCAACGTCATGCCAACGTCCCCCTCAGCAGCAGTCCTGGTTGCCTTGGTGAATTGTGTCTTTTTTGAACCTTCTTTAAGAATATAATAATCCAGTGTGTCTCCTGGCAATATGCATAATACCCATTTCAGTATGTCTATTTCCTCAAGTTATTAGTCCTACAACAATTCTGCTATTTCAAACTTTTTTAGCTTAAGCCATCATTTTCCCAATGCTTTTTGGATCAATCCTCATAAGTAGTTTGTATTATGTACTTGGGTCCTTACTGAGTTAAACCTTATATTTTGGAAGAGAATACCCTGATCCAAAAGTCTCTTTATGATCCACCCTATTCCCACCCCCTGATCAACCACGCATAGAACCCAAATTTTTGTGTAATTTGTCAATGCTTAATCTCTACTGGCACACACAGGTTGTGTATTTTAGTTCCTTTGGGTATAGTGTCTTCCTTATAGGCCCAACACATCCCCACGTAGGTTGTGCTGCCACAGGTCCAATTGTCAGAAAAGAGTGTGGGTGCAAATTGAGTAAGGCATATTTTGTGTTATTAAGGAGAAATCTCTGCATTGTCTTCTACCAAAAGGCTAGTAACAGATCTTAAGAGGGAGATAAGGGATTCTTCTACAAGTCTAGAAATTTTAGAAGAGAATACAGATTTTAAAATCCTGGCCAGGTGCAGTGGCTCACATCTGTAATCCCAGTACTTTGGGAGGCTAAATGGGGTGGGTCACTTGAGCCTAGGAGTTCAAACGCAGCCTGGGCAACATTATGAAACTCTGTCTCTATTAAAAAAAGGGGGTAATTAAAGATGCTGATCCAAGGGTTTCAGTACCACTCCAGAGTTTACGTACTGCATAGAACTCAAAGGACTGAACAGCAGGTTATATATATGGTTACGGTTTATTATATATGTGTGTGTGTGTGTATATATGTGTGTATATATATAAGTGTATATATGTATGTATTGAAACCCTTGGATCAGCATCTTTAATTACCCTCTTTTTTAAATAGAGACAGGGTTTCATAATGTTGCCCGGGCTGCGTTTGAACTCCTAGGCTCAAGTGACCCACCCCATTTGGCCTCCCAAAGTGCTGGGATAACAGATGTGAGCTACTGCACCTGGCCAGGATTTTAAAATCTGTATTCTCTTCTAAAATTTCTATATATAAGTGTATATATGTATGTATGCTTAGATATACATATATACACTCATACATACACACATATGTAAATATAAGCATATATACATGTGTATTACATATATGCATATACACATATGTATGCTTACATATACACATACAGATATATATGCATACATGTGTATACACACATATATATGTATATATTAGCAGCAGATAAAAAAATGTATAGTAAAGAATTTAACCTTACAGGAAATGAGAAGTTAGATATGGTTTTTGCCTTCTGTTTCTGGGAAGGTAATCACGAAGTATCAGGCTTCATACAAATGTTTTTCTTTTCCTGCAGACGTTAGATTATTCCAGATAATCTAAACATGTGACCTATGATAGAGACTGGCTACACCAGAAAGCGTTTAGAGTAGGGGCTGACTATGCCCCAAAAAACAACATTGTGATGGGGCGGGTGGTCATTGAGGCTTGGATGAGATTTTTTGGTTGGCAATAGTTTACATATTATCACACATTCATTGCAGTACAGTAACACTGACTCTGTAGAAAGAGGAGAATAACTCTCTGTGTGCGTTATGCTGTGGAACCTGCCATAGTAACCAAAACTCAGTACCTTAGCAGTGAAACCAGGTACATACTGTCAACAATAATGTTTGTGTAATGCAACACTGACAACCTGGAATGGCCTAATCCATTTCTCTATGTGTAAGAAGCAAAATGATCAATCATTAACACAGGTAGCCTTCAAGGGCTATGTTCCCAGGGTGTTGGCTAGGTGTCAATCATGTCTCTGCCCAGGCTTTCTTGGAAAACGAAAGGACCAAGCAAACAAACCTGAAGTGTTAACTTTTTCCTTCACAGATCCCTAAATTAATGAGTCTAGAATGAGAAGATATGTATTACTTACTCTCTTAATTAAATTATTTATTATTTTAAACATCTGTATTAAGCTGCTGGGGTTGCATAAAAAAATACCACAGACTGGGCCCTTAAACAACTGAAATTTATTATTCTCAGTTGTGGAGGTTAGAAGTCAAAGGTCAAAGTGCTGGAAGGGATGTTTTTTTCTGAAGGTCATTTGGGAATGATCTATTTTAGGCTTCTGCTTGGTTTGCAGATGACCACCCTCTTGCTACTTCTTCACATGGTTCCACCTTCTTGCTACTTCTTCACATGCACCTTTGTGCACCCATGATCCTGGTGTCTCTCTGTGTGTATGTCTAATTTCCTCTTCTTTTAAAAACACCACAAATTGGATTAGAGCCCACCTACCATAAAACACATTACACATTTTCTGAGGGCTGTGAAGCAAAACAGCATCACGAAGACGTTCTTTACGTTATTTCCTAAGTTGCAATTTGATTGTTAAACATCTTTAGAAGTAAATGAGTGAATATATAAGAAACGAAAAGAATATTAATTTTAGAATGGACGAAGTGAATTTATTACTAGAATAAACAACATAATGAATAATGCCCCCAAGCTCTTAGCAATTTTCAGTAAAAAAGTAGAAAGATGGATTAGAAGAGCAATTCAGAGAGTGACGTCTTCTTAGAAAAACAGAACAATGTACACTGGGAAATGAGAATACTTTTTAATAGCAGGATATTTTATGCATAAGGTGGGAAGATATTTGCTACTCAGTGGTTTGATGGAGGACTGTAACTCACAGGACGATACTGACGGTCAGAAAATAGAAGCTCAGGCTGATAATTTTAGTTTTTATTATAAAAAATTAGACAGTTCTATAAGTACATTTTAGAAAAGAAAGTAATGTTACAACAAATGTAAACTTGTGGTATATGTAATTCAGTTGAAGAAAAGTTTTAAAATAGAATGCATCTGTCAGCTAAAATTGAATAATAAACAAAAACCTTAGTGCACAAACATTTATTCCCATTAATCAGAGGGTTATTTGAGACAAACCTGATCTGGGCAGTGCTTAGTTACCCTAGGGTCAAAGCTAGAGGTTGGCTTTATATTTGGTCCATAAGTCATCCTCTTTGGACTAGCTAGGTAGTACACTCTTACAGTGATTGTAGAAATGTGAGAGGTCAGGTGGAAATAAGTGATGCATCTTCAGCCTTATCTCATAGTTGGCACATTATAACTGTCATCCACATTCAACTGGCCAAGTTTGGACCAAATCTGAAGTTAAAACTCTTGATAAACAAGAGTGTTCAAAATATATGAACTACATATAAAATAGAGCCCATGGTATTGAAATAGTGGAGACAAGTTAGTAAGGAATATGTGATGAATGAAAAGATGGTATGAAGGGAGTGAAATGAACAAAGTTTGAGAAAACTGAAAATACAAAATAAATTGGTGTAAATTAAATTTATCAATAAGAATGTTAAATGTCCCAGATAAAAGATAAATATTGTTGTAGTGAACAAAAGAAACTATATACTGTTTATAAAATATTTATCTAAAAAATAAAGATAATCATATTTAAGAATAAAAAAAGATAAACCACCAGACAAACAAAAAAGTAGTGAAACTATGTAATACTAGATAAAGTAGATTTTATTTCCTGAAACATTATTAGTACAAAGAGGTTTGTTTCATAATAGTAAACTTTCAACTCATTAAAAAGACTTAGTATTTTTAAAATTGTAGGAACTTAATAATATACCTGAAAATATAAATAGCAAATATTTACTGAAACAGAAGAGATAAATGCACAAATATAATAGGATATTTTAATGCATATACATATCTAGCTCATAAATTAAAACAGGTAGTAAAATTGCAGTATAAATATAAAATGTGGTAAACTTCAACTTACAACATAGAATATTAAAATTTAGAAAATAGATTTTTGTGGCACATATAGAACATTTACAAAATTAACCATATGATGTTCCATAAAGCTCAGCATATTTCAAAGGATTGAAATCCTGTGGCATATGTCATAACATCATAAAGTAATTAAATTATAAATCAATATGTCATAACATCATAAAGTAAATTATAAATAATTTATAAATTATAAATTAAATTATAAATCAATATGTCATAACATCATAAAGTAATTAAATTATAAATCAATATTAAAAGCATTCTTAAAAATTCCTAATATTTATAAAAATTAATATGTACACATAGGAATAAAATATATAAAAAAGATAAAAATCACAATGAAAATTAGAAACTATTTTCAACTAAGTATAATAAAAACACTGCACATAAAAATCCTGTAGGATGAAATCAAAGCAGTATTTAAAAATAATAATCTGAGTTTACATGTATATATTTAAAAAGAAAAAATAAATAAAACTGAGTGACATAAGCATCGAATTCAGGAAATTAGGGACCATACATGTTACTTAAACCTAAAGAAGGTTGAAGAAAGGAAATAAAATTGATTGGATTAAGAAGTAATGAGACAGAACAAGCATACAAGAACATGGATAAAGTCAAGTGCAATCTGATTGAAAATCTTAAGAAATAAACCTTAGGAAAGACTAACCAGGAACAAATGTAGGGGGTGGGAGGAGAACAGAAAGGATAAATAACCAATATTGGAGATGAAAAAAATGACATTAATATAACTATCTTGAAATATTTAATTACAAAAAGTTTTAAGTATGAAATAGACAAATTACTAAAAAATGTAAATTACCTCAATTATGTCACTCTCAGGAAAATATAAAATATATGAAAACTCCTGTAAGCAATAAAGCAATTGATCCAGTAATTGATACATTTTGGATATATATAGGATATCAATTACTGAATCAATTGCTTTATTGCTTATCGGATGCTTGTCCCCTCCAAATCTCTTGTTGAAGTGCAATCCCCAGTGCGGGAAGTGGGGCCTGGTGGGAGATGTTTGGACTATTGAGGTGGATCCCTCATGAATGGCTTGGTGTTGTCCTCCTGATAGTGAGTAATTCCTTGCGAGATCTGGTTGCTTAAATGTGCGTGAAACCTCGCTTCTTGCTCTCTTGCCCTTTCTCCCATCATGTGATACACCAGCTTTCCTTTTCACCTTCTCCATGATTACAAGCTTCCTGAGACCCTCACTAGAAGCTGAGCAAATGTTAGTGTCATGCTTGTCCAGTCTGCAGAACCATAAGCCAATTAAACCTCTTTGCCTTAAAAATTACCCAGCAACAGGTAGTTTTTATAGCAATGCAAAAAACAAAAACAAAAACAAAAACAAGCAAAAAAAAAAAACTAGCACAGTACAGTAACCCAAAAAGAAATCAAAATTCTTCTTCACATTTTCTTCCAATTTTGTACTTTTCCTGCTTTCATATACTTTGAATTATATATTTATTTACTTGATAAATTTAATATTAATTTATATAATTCTATGCATCTATATAACATAATATCTCAGTTCATTGAAATTATTGGCCATAATCTTATTTTTGTTGTTTTGGGCCGTTTTTTACATAAGAAAATGCTCAAATCCACTAGTACTAATTACAAAAACAAAAATTAAGACTCCCACACACAGAACACTTTTAAAAGATTTTGAAAACATGAAACATTCGAGTGGATTTGAATCAATAAGAAATTGTACTCACTGAAAGTTGAAGTTATATTGGAAAGATTATTTTAAAAAGAAATTTGATAATGCCTATTATAATTTAAAGTAACCAAACTTTGCAACCTAAACATTCAATGACAGCAAATCTCACAATCATGTTGACACAAAGTGCACAAAAATTAAAAATAAATTTAATTTGTTTTCATTTAAGCATCTAGTACAGAGAATGGAAATTTGTTACAATTGCCCAATAATTTGTATGGCAATCGTGTCAAGTCGGAAGGAAAAACTTCACCACAGAGAGAAATATATGAGTTTATACTAGTTAAAACAGTAAAAAAAGATAAGCAAGCTGGTTGCTAATAATTTTCTTCTGATTTTCTTCACTATTACAGCAATTTTATTTTCATTTAGGTTAAAAGCTTGAATTAATTGGATAATTTTGTTTTTAAAATCATTTTAGTTTGTCAACATATAAAGTTATGATAAACTCTCATATCTGATCATCTAGCTTCAGGCAATTAGAAGCATTTTATAATTAGATTAATTCAAATAAGTGCAGTCAATCCTTATAATTGATGGAATAAATATTTACAAATTATCTTACTAAAATGTATTTGTAACTCCAACAGTCAATACTCATGTCACATTCATGGTCATCATGAACATATGCAGAACAGCGAGAAATTTGAACCAATTGACATGCACATTTTCAGCTGAGTTCCCACAAGGTGACACTCCGCCTTCTTGTTTTAGTTCTCATACTTTAAATATGTCCCTTTTGCAGTCTAATGCCATGTTTTCCACATTTTGCATTTTCCTCTTGGTGTTGTTACTAATTAAAATAGTACCCAAGCATAGTACTGGAGCAGTCTAATGTTTCTAAGCACAAGAAAGCTATGATGTTTCCTATAGAGAAAATCGGTGTGTTAGTAAGATTCCTTCAGGTATGAGTTATAATGGTGTTGGCCATGATTTCAATATTAATTAACCAATGAGATATATTAAATATGGTGTCTTTAAACAGAAACACATATAAAACAAGGTTAAATATTGAGCAGTAGATGAATATTTGACCAAAGGTCCTTAGGAACCTAACTCTGTATTTTTTCTTGGAGTAATGGTTGTGTATTCGCAAATTAAATGTTCACAGCCACTTTATAGAATATAACAGTCATGAATGACAAGAATATATTGTGGTTCTTTATTTTTTACAATCATTTGGTGATAGTTACAATATATATCAATGCATTATTTATATATTATATATAGTGTATAGTTATAAATTAAATAATTTGATGAAAATACCACAAACATTTAGAAACAGTATTACTTTAAAATATCACTGCACTTACATAATGTATATAGTTCTATAAACATGTTTTATTCCTATTTGTGTTATAAAAATACAAGTCTCTTGCTTATAATACAAAAATCTAAGTTCAATGAAAATACATGAGAAAAATCAAAAGTAAAATAGCAACTATGTATAGCAGATCAGTGTAGGAGAATTTGACAAAAGATATGGTGTTCTGTATATATTTAAAGAAGCCTTGGGAGCCCACATAGTTCCTGTGTGGTGGGAAGGTGTTCTTAGTGTGGGAAGCAATAAAAGTAAAGCTTGCTGTCCCTAATGGGATGAGGAAACAACAGGAGCTGTTATACATGGATTAGAGGAAAAAAATGTGCACAATTATAAGGAAAATCATACCCTAAAAGAAGTGTGAAAGATGGAAAATTTTTCAAAGGAATCAAAAATAAAAATATTCATATTTAACAGATAAGAAATCTCCCATCGAGAGGGCTCTTCGTGAAAGATAAAATATTTTGGAAAGAATAGCAAGATAAATTATCTAGTATTTCCACTCTATTATAATAACATTGGGCTATTCTTATTAAAGTGTTAAGTAAGAATAGTAAAATTAAAGAGTAAATGTGTACCTTTTTAGTAAAACCTGAGAAAGACAAAAGAATGTGAAGACTTTACATCTATAATAGAAAGTAATGAGTATAGATTTTCAATAATATGCATTTATAAGATGTTTTGTATCTATAACTTATACCTCAAAACACTTGTGGTTAACAGAAAGTATAAAACGTATCTCAATAGCTCAGACAAGTGGTTATAAAGTTTATATCCATGTTAGGTATTTGGATGGTGTATTAGGGTTCTCTAGATGGATAGAACTAATAGTATATATATATATATATATATATATATATATACACACATATATATATGTATGTGTATATATATATATATATATATATATATACATGCATATACGTATACATACACACATAAAGGGGAGTTTATTGGGAGTACTGACTCACACGATCACAAGATGAAGTCCCACAATAGACTGTCTTGCAAGCTGAGGAGCCAGAAAGCCAGTCTGAGTCCCCAAACCTCTAAAATAGGGAAGCCGATAGTGCAGCCTTCAGTCTGTGGCCAAAGGCCCAAAGGCCCAAGAGACCCCGCAAATCATTAGTGTAAGTCCAAGAGTCCAAAAGCTGAAGAACTTGGAGTGTGATGTTTGAGGGCAGGAAGCACGCAGCATGGAAGACAAATGGAGGCCAGAAGACTTAGCCAGTTCAGGTTTTCCACGTTCTTGTTCCTGCTTTTATTCTGGCCATGCTGACGAATGATGAGATGGTGCCCACCCAGACTGACGGTGGGTCTGCCTCTCCCAGTCCACTGACTCAAATATTAATCTCCTTTGACAACACTCTCACAGATACTCAGGAACAATGCTTTGCATCCTTCAATCCAATCAAGTTGACACTCAGTATTAGCCATCACAGATGGGAAGATATTATACCCAAGAGACATTGAAGCATTAGTCTTCCCTACTATCTCCTTGGTGGCGGTTTAGGAACTCCAAGTAAGCAGTCGACACAAAAAAAGTGTTCCAGTATCACTGACATCACTGTATCTTCGGACCAACACCATGTAACACCACTTAAAGGGTGGCAAAATGGTGATAATTTTAATGAATACATACATATGAGAAAAACAAACATGATAATAAAAAGTTAAAATATGTACTAAATTTGAGAAAATAATCATCTCCTATGGAACTTCAAAAACACACAGGAATTAAATATATTTTATAAATAAAAACACAGGGTGCTTATCATCTTATGTACATAAATAAGAAATAAACCAAAACCATAAATATATATATGGAAGTATAAGAAATATGAATAAACCAAAAATTTGGTCAATATATAGGTCATTTTAAATAATAGTTTACTATGAAAATTTATGTAAAATGACTAATTTAAGAAAATGTAAAAGTATTGGTAGCTGAGAATAAAAGGTAAAATATTGTCACTACTCAATTAAGAAAGAAAAAATATTGATTAAATTGCAAGTAAAGATGTTAAACTTTTATGTCTTTAAAGGACTATTCAAAATATGATGTATATATACCAACAGTGAAAGAAAAATGGGGTAAAAGAAAATAAAGCTTACTAGTTATAATAACACAAGATAAAATTTTACCAAAATATTGGTAATATAAAACATTTAATAACATGCCACATAATACAATAGCCTTCAAAAATAAAGGGTTAAAGTTACCTATAAGACAGAAAATCACAGATTAAATTTAAAAAATCTAATATGACCTATATGCTATTTACATGTTACTGAAACATGACCAAAAAAATGAAAGTAAAGAGATGAAACAAGATTAATTAAAAGTATGCTAGTGTAATAAGGTCATTACCAGCAAAGATGTCTTTAAGGGAAAATGTGTTATATGGTAAGAAATAAATCATTTCAAAGATAAAAGGAACAGTTTATTAAAAAAAACTCTTTTCAAGTATAGATCTTACAAATATCTGCATGTTTTGATATAAAAGTAAGTATATATGTATATTAAGTGTGTGTGTGTATATATATATATATATATATATATATATGGAAATATATGTTTGTGTGTATCATGGCAGACAGATTTTGAAGGTGGCCCTGTTCCTCTTGGTTTGCATGTGTTTGTGTGATTCCTTCTCTTTGAGTATGGAGGGGACTGTGACTTGCTTCTAACCAATAGAAAAAGGCAAAGATGATAGAATATACATTATTAAGTGCTGGTGATTATCTGATTACTATTACTTTTAATATGATGGTAGCACTTGTTTTCTTAGAGTCTTTCCTTCTATGGATAGCTGTGAAAAAGTAAGCTGACATGTTCTGTGACACCATATGGCAAAAAAAACTTTGCTGGCTTCCAGGCACTGAAGAAAATGAGTTAAGGATGGCCTCTATTAAATAGCTAGCAATAAACTTCAGTCCTCAATTGTATAACAAGAAGGAACTGAACTCTGCCAACAACCACGAGTGAGGAATCATGTTCTTCAGTCAAGCCCTCATATGCAAACCAAGCCCTGACCAATACCTTGATTGAAGCTTCGTGAGTCCCTAAAAAGTGGTGCCAGCTAAGCAGTTCCTGGGTTATGACTCTTGGAAACTGTGAACCAAAAAAAAAAAAAAAAAAGTATGTTGTTTTCAGCCACTAAGCGTGCAATAATATTGTTACAGAACAATGGAAACGTCTCAGTTGTAGAAGCATCACATTACCTGGCTTCAAATTACCCTACAAGCTTATAGTAACCAAACAGCATGGTACAGGTATTAAAATAGTCACATAGATTGATGGAACAGAATACAGAACCCGGAAACAAAGCCACATACTTACAGCTAACAGATTTTTTACAAATTGACAAAAATATACACTGGGTAAAACACATTGTTTTCAAAAAGTCGTGCCAGGAAAATTGGATTGTCATACACAGTAGAATAAAACTGGACCCCTATCTCTCACATATAAAAAAAAATCAACTCAAGATGGACTAAAGACTTAAAATATAAGACCTAAAACTGTAAAATACTAAAAGAAAAACTTTTCTGGACATCAGTTTCGGTAAAGAATTCATTCCTAAGAAATTAAATGCATAGGCAATAAAAACAAAGATAGACAAATGGGAATTAACTAAACTTAAAAGCTTTTTCAAAGCTAATAATAATAATCATAATCAACAGAGTGAATAGACAACCTGCAGAATAGGAGGAATATTGGCAAACTATATATTCAATAGGGGACTAATATACAGAATTTGCAAAGAACTCAACTCAACAACAACAAAAAACAAATAATCCTATTGAAAACTTGGCAAAAGACATGAATAGACATTTTTCAAAAGAAGCCATAAAAATGACCAACAAAGTTAAGAAAACATTATCATCACTAATCACCAGAGAAATGCAAATTAAAACAATGATATAATCTTACACCAATCAAATGACTATAATTAAAAAGAAAAAATAACAGATGTTGGTAGGGATGTAAATTAGTACAATGTCTGTGGAAAACAGTATAGAGATTTCTCAAAAAACTACCATTTGATCCAGAAATCCTGCTACTGGATATCAAACCCAAAGGCAATATATATATATATATATATATATATATATATATATATATATGCACTTGTATATTTATTACAGCACTATTCTCACTAGCAAAAACTGGAATCGACCTAAAAGTGTCCACTAGATAAAGAAAATGTGGTGTATATACCTAATAAAATACTAATACAGTAAAAAAAATCATGAAATAATGTATTTTGAGACAAGATGGATGGAACTAGAAGCCATTATCTTAAGTGGAATAACTCAGATACAGGAATACAAATATAGCATGTTCTCATTTATAAGTGGTAGCTAAATAATGTGTACACGTGGTTGTAAGTGTGGAATGATAGACAGTGGAGACTTGGAAGGCAGGAAGGTGGGAGGGGGTGGATGATGAGAAATAACTTAATGAGTAAAATGTACATTATTTTAGTGACGGATACACTACAATCCCTGACTTCGCCACTACACAATTTATTCATGTAATAAAATTACACTTTTATCCCATAAATTTGTATAAACAAAATGTTAAAGAAGAGTGAAAAGCTTTCACCAAAGTAAAAAAAAAGTACACAATTGAACTGGATATTGAGATCTCCCCACTTTGGAACATTTTGCTCTTCCAGTTTCTGAGTCAACAGTCAAAGATAGGGGTTGTGGACTAGCTGAGGGGGCTGAGGTTGATCGTGGCTAATAAGGAGAGACTGAATTGATAAAGAAGTTGATATAGAATGTGGGAAATTTCATAGGGCACCTCCTGTTCCTCCCAGGATTTATATTTGAAGTCAATGAAAAACTACAACAGTCCAAATCAGAGAGGAATGCTAATGATCCAAGAATTATGGTTTGATCACCACCCTAGGTAAGAAGCCAGGATCAACTGAGGTGCTTGCTGAGGGCAATGAAGGATGCAAGGGGTAGTGAAATAAAGTAGTTATATAAACACCAGATAAAACCACATGGTCCTAATAAGATTATGATAATTATGAGTATTTCTGCCTTATTTTGGGGAAATAAAAAACAATGCATAACTTACATATGGTACAGACTTTAAAATAAAAATTATCAAAATACATTTGAGAAAAGAGGAAATAAATATGTTTTAGTGCTAAATTCAGTTCCTAAAAGTAGAACATATGATTATACCTGAAACTAAGTATCATCTGTATAATTTTAATATATATTCTCTCAAAAATCTCTGCCTTATAAAAAATTAAAAAATCACTAGACTATTATACACAAATTTAAAGAAAAAAACAGAACAATCTCTCTCTTCACCAAAGGCTTTCCAAAACTTGAAGCAGTCAGAGAAATCTGTCATCTTATTCCTGAAACTAAATATCCTTGATATCACAAAAGGAGATTGATAAGAGTATCAAATAAGTACACTCCAATCATATTTATGAGCATAAACACACATTGAAATATTAACAAAACAAATCTAACTGTGTATTTAAAAACAACAAAGATGATAACATTATGTCATCACCAAATAAGATATAGTCTAGAAATGCAAGAATAGATAATGTTATTTTCCAACACATAGTAAAATAAAATAGAAATGTCGTATGATAATATAGTAGATTGAGAAAAAGTATTTGCAACCTTTCAAGATGTTCTTGATAACATTCTTAACAAAATAGGAATACTAGGCAAATTACGATGTGATGAAAGATGTTTATGAAAATGTAGAAAATGCCTTTTTATTGAATTGTGATATGTTTCTGGTAAAAAACAAGAATAAGTACTATTCTGCTTATTTTCTACAATAAATTGGGAGTTCAAAGCACTGTATTAAGATAACAAAAATAAATTAAAAACTATTATTACAAAACAAAAATGACATATGGATAGGAAAATAACTAATCAAAGTGTTATCATATCGCTTGCTTATGGAGATACGCATATATACACAGACACATAGTAAAAAGTTTAAAAAATGTTATTTGGAAAGGATGAATAGCAACTTGAATATAGTGGTTATTACTGAAATTATAGTGTAGAAAATGGAATGTATAATAGCGTTTGATATGGTTTGACTCTGTGTCCCCACTCAAATATCATCTCAAATTGTAATTCACATGTGTCAAGGAAGGATCCTGGTGGGAGGTGATTGGATCGTGTGGGTGGATTTCCCCCATGCTGTTTTCATGATAGCGAGTGAGTTCTCACAAGATCTGATGGTTTAAAAGTGTGGCATTTCCCCCCACCCCTCTCTCTCCTGGTGTCGTTTAAGACGTGCCTTGTTTCCCCTTTGCCTTCTGCCATGATTGTAAGTTTCCTGAGGCCCATCCAGTCATGTGGAACTGTGAGTCAATTAAAACGTTTTTCTTCATAAATTACCCAGTCTCGGGTAATTCTTTATAGCAGTGTGAAAATGGACTAATACACCATCAAAGGTTTTTGGTATTTTTTGTTTATTTGTTTATTTGTTTGTTTGTTTTTGGTCAGACAGAGCTTCTTTATGTTGCCTAGGCTGGCCTTGAATTCCTGGCCTCAAATGATCCTCCTGTCTCAGCTTCCCAAAGTGCTGAGATAACAGGCGTGAGCAACCATGCCTGGCCTCAAAAGATTTTTTAATGATGCCTGTAATATTTTGACTCTGAAACTATTGGGGTCAATATAAATATTTTTTCAATATGGTTGGTTGGTTGGTATATGGATGTTGTATTTTCCCAAATTAAAAAAAAGAAAAGAATGAGAAACGAGTCTGTATGTGTGTTTGTGTGTATTTATGTATATATATGTGTGTAAGTCTATACATATAGAGAGAGGGGAGAGAAAGAGAGCAAGAAAGAGATAGAGAGGTAACCTGAGTTAAAAACATCGAGAAAACTGAGTTTACAATTTGTTCAGGATTTAACTAACTAATAAAAGACATATTTAACTCACTAAATGATTGATATTGTACTTTGTATACAGAATTTCAACTTGGTGAAACAGAAATTGTGATTTAAATGTAAGCTATTTGAAATGGATGTTTCTAATACGTTTTCCTGAAAATCATTGCCTTTGTTTTTCAGAGATTTATTGCACAGAAAGAGCTAATAGCCACTTTGTAAGACATCTGGGGAACTATTCTTATCTGATGGTTTTTCAAAACATAAAGACCATCCTGGAAATGGTCATAAGAAATAAAGTTCATAGATTTTTATTTAATGTGTCAGTGTAACTGAAGAAGGAGCGTGAAGAACCCTATTTAGTGTTACTGCACAGTGACAAAGAGATTATAAGCAATTGTTCCCCAGAAGGTTTTATTCTTTCCTTCAGGCCTAAGCAAATATCATAGATTGATTTGGTTCATACCAAAAAATAAATAAAAATAAAAATGAATGATGAGTGTAGAAACTAAACAGATTTTTGTTTCTGCAATCTAGTTTTATATACTTTTTATAGTTTCAAGTTCATATACAGTCAAGTACTGCATAAAAATGTTTTGTCAATGAAGGACTGCAAATACAACAGTGGTCCAATAAGACCACTGGAATTCTCACCTATTGACATTTTGGCCATCATAACATTGAAACACAACACATTACTCAGGCTTTTGTGGTGATGCTGGTGTAAACAAACCTACTGTTTTGCCAGTCATATATTAAATAAAAGTATGGCACATATGATAAGGATAACAAATGACTATGTTGCCAGTTTATGTATTTACTATACTACATTTTATCATTATTGTAAAGTATATTCTTCGTATTATTTTTTTAAGTTAACTGTAAAACAGCCTCAGGCAGGCCTTTCAGAAGGTATTCCAAAAGGAGACATTGCTATTATAAGAGATGCCAGCCCTATGCATGCTATTGCCACTGAAGACCTTCAAGTGGGACAAGGTGTGGCGTTGGATGAAAATGATATCGGTGATCTTTGCCTTGTGTAGTTCAAGGCTAATGTGTATATTTATGTCTTGGTTTTTATTTGAAAAGTTTTAAAAGTAAAAATAAATAAATAGAACAATTTAAAAATTAAAAAATATTATAAAATAAGAATATAAAAATGGTTTTGTACAGCAATATAGTGTGTTTGTGTTTTAAGCTATGTGTTATTACAAAATTCCAAAAAGTTTTAAAAAATTGTCTATAAAATAAAAAATTCCAGTAAATAGGGGTTAATTTATTATTGGAGAAATAAAACTATTTGTTTGTAAATTTAGTGTAGCCTAAGTGTACAGTGTTTATAAAGTCTACAGCAGTGTGCAGTTGTATCCTCAGCCTTCACATTTACTCACCACTCACTCACTGACTCAGAGCAATTTCCAGTCTGGCAAGCTTAATTCATGGTAAGTGCCCTATACAGATGTACCACCTTTTATCTTTTATATCATATCTTATTATACGCTTTCTATATTTAGATATGTTTAGATACACAAATACCATTGTGTTAACATTGTCTGCACTATCCAATACAGTAACATGCTGTACAGGTATTAGCCTAGGAGCAATGGTCTATACCATATAACCTAGGTGTGTAGTAGGCTATACAATCTAGGTTTGTGTAACTAGACTCCAAGATGTCTGCACAAAAACAAAATCACCTAATGATGCACTTCTCAGAATATATTTCTTCTTTTAGAAACACAGTACTGTACCTACATTTTAAAATCAATATAATAAAATTGATGTGAAACATACAGTTCTTTGGAAAAATGGGAAAGAGATTTAAGTGAAGTTTTCTCATGCCATTTTGAATCAATTGAAGAATTTGGGTTTATTTTCACTGGTTTATCAACTTCCTTAATTAAAGAATATATCATTCACCAAATTACTTCTTTTAGAGCCATTTCTGACTTAATATCTCATGTATTCCTTAGTAATTCATCTGTCCTAAAATTTTAAATTATTAGACACATTCTTTTAAAGTTTAACTTTGCCTAAACTACATTTTTAAACCATTGCTTTTTACCACATTTCAAAATATTTAAATATTTATTTCCATTGAATTATTTAGTCCATATTTTATATGCTGAATATTGTTTTTAAAATTATAAACTATTTTTTCTAATATGTTTCAGAAGTTATACTACACCTTAGATTTGACATTTCTGCCTTTAACTCTCATATATAATATTTTGTGTCAAACTCAAGGCTTAATAATAACTCATTTATCTTTATGAATTTTTAGTTTTAAAAAAGTATAGTAGATATACTGAAACTTGGATAATATATTTATCAATTACTATGGCATGGTCAATAAAAATCTATATGTCAAAGATCTATATGTCAAATAAATATCTATAAGCCAAATATTTTTATGTCAAATAAAAAAATATATGTAAAAACCTATATGCCACTGTATATTTAGAGTGGCTTTCCTCTAAATAGAGCTTCAGTACTTTATCAATGATTTTTTTGGACCCTGGAAAGAGAGGAATTGACGTAAATGTTTATAATAATATCAGCTTCATAAATATTACATATTAAATAATGTAGCTGCACATATGAATAGTAGAATATTTTATTGCTGTGAAGTGTTCTGTTGTGTGAATATTATAAAATGTGGCTTTTCTCTTTTGGTGGACATTTGAATTGCTTCTAATTTGGGCTATTATAAATAAAACTTTTCTGAACATTCTTGAACAAGCCATTATATAAACATAGACACTCATTATTCTTATAAAAACCTAAAAGCAGAATTGCTGGGTCATAGGAAGACTATACAGATGACTACATCAAACATTACCAAATAGTTTTCCAATTTAATTTTACAATTTTATAATTACACCAATAATGAATAAATTGCACTTACTGCACACTCTCAGTAACAGGTTTTAAACTTAATAGCCTTAGCCCTTTTGGTAGAGATGTATGTATAAACAACTGTGTTTTTAATTTAAAATGAATAACAATGCTGAGCAAATTTTCCGATGCTTATTGGCAAATTAGATCTATTTGAAGTCCTGCTTAAGTATGAAATGAAATGTGTGTGTCTTACAAAATCATAAGAGTTATACTATTGTAATTATGACCCTTTTTCAAATATGTGGAATGTTCACATATTCTTCCAATTTGTAGCTTTACACATCCCTTGCTTAATGTGTTTTTATTTTT
Source organism: Homo sapiens (assembly GCF_000001405.40). Classification (NCBI taxonomy): domain Eukaryota; kingdom Metazoa; phylum Chordata; class Mammalia; order Primates; family Hominidae; genus Homo; species Homo sapiens. The sequence continues at coordinate 83,077,798 of NC_000003.12, read as the reverse complement.
TTAATGTTAATTTTTAATTTACCCTCTCTACCATTTTTAAATGCACAATTCAGTGGTAATAAATAAACTTATCCTTTTTTCCCCTTATGCCCCCTTCATCCCTTCCATTTGTGGCCTCTGGCAGCCATCATGCTACTTCATCATCATGAATCCAGTTTTTAAGCTTCCCTACATGAGTGAGAACATGAGATATTTGTCTTTCTGTTCTTGGCTTATATCACTTAACATAATGGCCTCCAATTCCATCCATATTGCTGTAAATGGCAGAAGTTTATTCTATTTTATGGCTCAATAATATGTAACTTCATATATACCAACTTTTTAAATCAATTCATTCATCCATTGATAAGCATTTGATTCCACATTTTGGCTATTGTAAATAGTACTGCAATAAATATGGAAGTACAGATAACTTCTTGATATGTTGATTTTCTTTTTTTTAAAATATGTACCCAGCAATGGGATTGTGCTGTTATATGGTAGTTCTATTTTTAATTTTTTGAGGAATCTCCATACTAATATCCATGGTGATTTTGCAAATTTACATCCCTACCAATGATTTCTAATAGTTCTCTTTTCTCAACATCCTCACCAACATCTGTTATTTTTTGTCTTTTTAATAATAGCCATTTTAACTGGAGTGAGATAATTTCACATTGTGGTCTTAATCTGCATTTCTCTGATGATTGGTGATGTGGAGCATTTTTAAATATACCTGTTGACCATTTGTCTGCCTTGTTTGGAGAAATATCTAGTTAGACTTTTTGCACATTTTAGATCACATTATTGTGTCTTTTTTGCTATTGAGTTGTCGGAGCTCCATATATATTCTTGTTATATACCCCTTGTCAAATGGAGAGTTTGTAAATGTTTTCTCCCATTCTGTGAGTTCTCTCTTCACTTTGTTGACTTTCATACTTAATATTTTGTGTCAAACTCAAGGCCTAGTAATAAGTCATTTATTTTTATGAATGTTTAGTTTGATGTGCAGAAGCTATTTAGCTTAATAAAATGTGCTTAATATTAGCTATTTAGCTTAATATAATACAAACTATGCAGGGTTGCTTTGATTGCTTGTGCTTTTGAGATCTTACACACACACACACACACGGACACACACACACAAAAAAAAACAGAAAACAAAAAACAAAAAACACTGTGTCGACCAATATCCTGGAACATTTTCTTCTGGTAGCATCATAGTTTCAGCCATATATGTAAATCTTTAATGTATTTTGTTTTGATTTTTGTGTATGATGAGAGATCGAAGTTCAGTTTTATTTTTCCACTTTTAGTTATACAGTTTTCCAAGCACTGTTTATTGAAAAGACTTTCTTTGCTCCATCGTATACCCTTGGTGACTTTGTCAAAGATGAGTAGGTAGTAAATGTGTGGATTTATATTTGAGATCTCGAGGTGTGGTGGCACATGCCTGCAGTCCCAGCTACTTGGGAAGTTGAGATAGGAAGGTCACTTGAGTCCAGGAGTTTAAGGCTGCCACGAGCTACAGTCATGCTATTGTACTCCAGCAAGGGTAACAGAGCAAGAGCTAGTCTCTGAAAGAAACAAACAAACAACCCACACAAAAGCACACAGTGTATCTGGGTTCTCTATTCTGTTCCATTGGTTTATGCGTCTCTTTTTATGTCATTCGCGTGCTATTTTAGTTACTACAGCTTTGTGGTAAATTTTGAAGTCTGGTATTATGCCTCTAGTTTTGTTCGTTTTGCACAGGATGACTTTGGCTATTTAGGGTCTTTTGTGATTCCATAGAGATTTAACAATTTTTTTTCTATTTCTGGGAAGAATGTCACTGGTATTTTGGTAAGGATTACATTGAGTCGATTAATTGCTTTGGGTATTTTTGTCATTTTAAAAATATTAATTCTTCCAATCCACAAGCATACAATATCTTTGATTTTTTATATGTCCTGTTTATTTCATCAGAATCCTATAGTAATCCTTGTATAGATCTTTCACTTCTTTGGTCAGATTGATTCCTAGGTATTATATTTTTTGTAACTATTGTAAAGGGTAATAGTTTCTTGATTTTTTTCAGATTTTTTGCTGATGTAACTGAATGGTACTAATTTTTATTTTTATTTCAAGTTTTATTTTAGATTTGACATAACACACATATGCAGGTGTGTTATGTGGGAATATTGCCTGATGCTGAAATTTGGGATAAGAATGATCCTGTCACACAGGTAGTGAGCATAATACCCAAAAGGTAGTTTTTCAGCCCATGCCCCTCCCTCCCTCTCCCCTATAGTAGGTGCAGTGTCTATTGATCCTATCTTTATGCCCAGGTGTACTCAATGCTTTGTTCCCACTTGTAAATGAGAAAATGTGGTTTTTTTTCCTGCATTAATTTGCTTAGAATAATGTCCTCCAGCTGCATTTATATGGTTGCAAATGACATAATTTTATTTTTACTTATGGCTACATAGTATTCCATGGTTTATGTGTACCACAATTTATTTATCCAAACACCATTGATAGGCACTGATTTCATGTCTTTGCTATTGTGAATAGCATGGCAATGAACATACAAGTGCATGAGTCTTTTCTGTAGAAAGACTTATTTTCCTTTGGATATATACCCAATAATGGGATTGCTGGATTAAATGGCAGTTTTATTTTAAGTTCTCTGAGGAATCCTCCAACTGCTTTCCACAGGAGTTACACTAATTTACATTCCCATCAAGTGTATAGACATTCCCTTTTCTCTGAAGACTCCCAACATACCAACATTGTTTTTTATTTTTGAATTTTTAATAATAGACTTTTTTACTGGTGTGAGGTGGCATCTCCCTGTGGTTTTGATTTGCATTTCTCTTATGATTAATGATGATGAGCATTTTAAATATGTTTGTTGGCCACTTGCATGTCTTCTCTTGAGGTGTCTGTTCATGTCCTTTGCCCATTTTTTAATTGGGTTATTAGGGTTTTGCTTGTTGAATTGTTTAAGTCTCTTATGGATTCTGGACATAAGACCTTTACTGGGTGCATAGTTTGTAAATATTTTCTTCCATTCTCTAAGTTGTCTGTTTACTCTGTTGATCATTTCTTTTGCTGTGCAGTTGCTCTTTAATCAGGTCCCTCTTAAAAATTAGGTCAATGTTTGTTTTTGTTGCAATTGCTTTTGGGGACTTAGCCATATATTCTTTGCCACAGCCAATGTCAAATGTGTATTTCCTAGGACTTACATTGAAATTTTTAATCCTTCTTGAATAATATTTTGAGTTTGGTGAAAGGTAGTGGTCCAGTTTCATTCTTCTGGACATGGCTATCCAGTTATGCAGTATAAAATCATGTTGTCTGTGAAAAAGGCTAATCTGACTTCCTTTCAGACTGGATGGCCTTTATTTCTTTCTCTTGCCTAATTGCTCTGGCCAGGACTTCCAGTTTTATGTTGAATAATAGAGGTGAAAGTGGGAATTTTTGGCTTGTTCCAGTCTTCAGAAGAAAGACCTTCAATTTTTCCCTGTGCAGTATGATGTTAGCCATGGGGTTATCATATATGGCCTATATTATTTTGAGATGTGTTGCTCCTATATTTGTTTCACAAGGGTTTTTATCATAAAGAGATGTTGAATTTTACAAAATGCTTTTTTGCTATCAATACAAATAATTACATATGTTTTGTTGATGCTGTTAATGTGATCTGTCATATTTGTTAATTTGCATATGTTGAATCATCCTTGTATCCCTGTGATGAATCTCACTCGATCATGGTAAATACTTTTTTAATGTGTTATTGAATCTGGTTTGCTAGAATTTTGTTAAGGACTTTTGTCTCTATATTCATCAGTGACAATGGCTTCTAGTTTTCCTTTATTGTTGTGTCTTTGTCTGGTTTTAGTGTCAGGGTAATGCTGCCGTGTAGATTAAGTTTGTAAATATTCTCTCCTCTTCTAGTTTTTTCTTTTTTGAAGAGTTTGAGTAGGACTGTCATTAGTTATTCGTAAATCTTTGGTAGAATTCAACAGCTAATTCTTTAGGTCTTGGGCTTCTCTTTGATGAGAGAGTTTTTATTATGCCTTCAATCTTGTTACTCATTATTGGTTTGTTGAGGTGTTCTGTTTATTCATGTTTCAATATTGATGAGTTGTATGTGTCCAAGAATTTATTCATTTCTTCTAGGTATTTCAATTTTTTGGCTTACATTTGTGCATAATGGTCTCTAATGATTCTTTATATTTCTAAAATTTCAGTTTTTATGTCACCTTTTTATTTTGGATTTATTTTACTTGGTTCTTATCTCATTTTCTTTTTAGCTAGCAAAAGGTTTGTAAATTTTATGTTTTCAAGAAACCAACTTTTAATTTCATTGGCTTTTTGTATTTTTTAATTCTTTTAAGTCTCAATTTCATTTATTTCTTCTCTGAGCTTTATAATTTTTCCTACTACTAACTTTGAATTTCTTTTTTTTCCTGCTTTCCTAGTTCCTTGAGGTGCATCATTGAGTTATTTATTTGATGACTTTCTACTTTTTTAATATAGGCATTTATTGCCATAAACTTTTCTCTTAATACTGCTCTTACCATATCCCATAGATTTTTATGTTTTGTATTTCCATTTTCATTTGTTTCAAGAAATGTGTAACTATTTCTTAATTTCTTCATGAAGACATTGGTCATTCAGGAGCATGTTATTTATCTCCATGTGTTTGTATATTTTCCTGATTTCTAGTTTTATTCCTGATTTTTAGTTTGTTCCTGATTTCCAGGTTCCTCGTTTCCAGTTTTATTCTATTGTGATCAGAAAAGATGCTTGGTATTATTTATGTATATTTTTAAAATTTGCACAGACTGAATTTATGGCCTAAAATATCTATTCTGGAGAATAGGCCATGTGCTGAAAAAAAAAAAAGTGTATTCTACAGCAGTTGGGTAAAATGTTGTGTAAAGGTCAGTTAGCTCTAACTATTAAATCTATATAGTATAGATACAGTATACTATACTATAGTATAAATCTATATAGTATAACATATATATGTTATACTATATAGTTAATAATGTTAACATATAGTTTAACTTTGCTATTCCTTTGTTGACTTTCTGTTTGGATGATCTGTCCATTACTAAGAGTGGCGTGTTAAAGCCCCTTACTATTAATGTATTGCATTTTTTTCTGTTCCTTTAGATTTATGAATATTTCCTTTATATACTTGAGAGCTGTAGAGTTGGGTGCACAGATATTTATAATTGTTTTATCAACATGCTGAATTGATCCATTTATCATTATATAGTTACCCTTCTTGCTTTTTTTGCAGCCTGTAATTGTTGTAAATTTTATCTGATATTAGTAGAGCTACTTCTGCTCTTCTTTGGTTTCCAGTTGTATGAAATATCTTTTTCTACTCTTCACTTTCAATCTATGTATATTTTTATAGGTGAAGAGGATTTCTTGAAGGCAACATATTGTTGGGTCTTATTTCTTTATCCATTCAACCACTTCATGTGGTTGAAGAATTGAGACCATTTATATTCAGTATTATTATTTATAAATAAGGACTCCCTACTGCCATTTTCTTGCGTGTTTTCTGATGGTTTGAGACTTCTTCTCTCTTTATTCCTTTCTTACTGTTTTACTTTGTGGTCAAGTCATTATCTCTGATAGTATGTTTTAATTTGTGGCTGTCTATTTTTAGTAAATCTGTTATAGGATTTTTTTTGCTGTAGTTACAAGTTTTACAACAAACATTTATAGATATAACAAGTTGTTTTGACGAGATGACAGCTTATCTTAAATCAGAAATAAAAGAATAAAAACAGAGAGAAAACATTTCTACACTTTAATTCTATTGTCCAACATTTTGATTTGCAGTTTTCCCAATTTACATATTTTCATATTACTTCTAACAGGTTACTGTAGCTATTGTTGTTTTGATAGATTTGTCTTTTGGGCTTCATATTAGAGTCATGAGTAGACTGCATACCGCAAACATAGTAATAGTATATTCTATGTTTGTTGTTGTACTTAATTTTAGTAGTAGGTTTTATAGCTTTTTTTTTTTTTTTTTTTTGCACATTAGTGAAATTTTCTTCAAGATTAAAGAACTGCCTTTAATACTTCTTGCAAGACAGGTCTGGTGGTGGTAAATTCTCTCAGCTTTTGTTTGTCTGGGAAAGACTTTAAGATCTCTCTTTTATATTTGAATAAAAATACTGCTGGATATAGCATACTTGTATCGCATTTTTATTTATTTGAGTATTTCAAAAATGTTGTCTCACTCCTTCCTAACCTGTATGGATTCTGTTGAAAATTCCGCTGCTAAATGAATTGGAATCCTTTTATTCATTATTTGTTTCATATCTCTCACTGCTTTGAGGATCTTCGCTTTGACCTTGGAGAGTTCATTATTAGATGCCTTGGGTTAGTATTACTTGGGTTGAACCTCTTTGGTATTCTAAGACCTTCTTATACCTGTGTACTTATATCTTTCTTAAGCTTTGGGATGTTTTCTGTTATGATTTCTTTGCATAAGCTTTTTGCCTCTTGTTTTTCCTCAGTTCCCTCTTGAACACCTATAATTCTAGATTTGGTCTTGTGAAATAATTTTCTATATCTTGTAAAATATCTTCATTTTTTAAATTCTTTTTTTTCTCCTCTGCCTGTGTATATTCCAGTAGCTGATCTTTGAGCTCACAGATTCTTTCCTCTGTCTGGTTGACTGTGCTATTTAGGTCTCAAAAGAGTTCTTAAATTCAACAAATATTATTTCTCAGTTCCAGGATTCATTTGATTTTATTATTTTAATCTCTTTGCTAAATTTATAAGATACATTTATGAATTGCTTTTCTGTGTTGTACTGGAGATCACTGAGCTTCTTTATAATTGATATTTTGAATTATTACTCAGGCAGCTCATAAATCTTGTTAAGATCAGTCACTGGATTTTGATTTGTCCATTTGGGAAGGTCATGATTCCCTGTTTGTTGTTGTTTCTTGTGGGTATGCATCTGTGTCTTTGCATTGAAGGATTCATTATTTATTACAAGTTTCCCTATCTAGCTTGTTTTGATTTTTGTTGAATATGTCTGCTTAGTGAATCTTCTTTGCTAGGTTTCTGTCTCCTTCTCAGCTCTAAGTGGCACCTTAAGCCCAGGTTTGCCTCATCTCTAGCAAGTGGAGCAGTGCTTGTTCCAAGTGGAAGAGGTCATGAAGGAATTATCCCAGCAGTGTGTGAAGGCTGGCTAGGGGTTTGTGCTCAGGGGATGCAGGGAATGTATCTCCTACAGTGTGGTACTGGTAAACAGCTACTCTGATTTGGTGTCTCCTTTGTCATTATAAATTTTTATGGAGCAGAGTTTCTGGAGCTGAGGATGATAATCCCACCTCCTCGATTTGTCTCTGCCTGTCCTTAGGAATATTTCTCCCTTCAGACAATCACAATGCTACCCATGACTTAAAGCAAAGACTGGTTTTCTACCAGTGAAACCAAGATGGTAATGCAGTTGGCTGACCACATCAGTCTTATTTTTTCCAGTGTAGAAACTAAGTCGGTGGGAGAGTTTTCACATGCTTTGTGCTCCGACAATAAGGACGGAGGGGCATCACAGATGTGGAAGTCTAATTCCCTACCACGTGCTCAGAGATTTTCCACTTCTTTATGGCCCCAGAAACTGTTTCTTCCTCACACTGGAGCTCTGGATTGTTGCTAGTATAGATCTCAAAGTTGTGTGTTTGTTTTTGTTTTCTGTGAGGGAGATTGAAGCCACCCTCCCTTTATCCTTCCATTTGAGAACCAGAACTCACTTAATGTGATATTTTTTATGAATTTGTTTTGATTTTTTAATTTCTTAATTTTTACGTACTCCAATTTATTTTTTGGTTTTCTTCTGTAGTCAATTTGTTTCTAATATTATTATTATTTATATTTTTACTTTTCTGTTAAGTTCAGGGGTACAATACAGGTTTGTTACATATGTAAATTTATCTTATGGGTGTTTGTTGTACAGATTATTTCATCACCCAAGTACTAAGCTTAGTACTCATTAATTATTTTAGCTGAAACTTTCCCTCCTTCCATCCTCCACCCTCCAAAAGGCCCCAGTGTATGTTGTTCTGCTTTATGTGTCCATGTGTTCTCACCATTTAGCACCCATTTATAAGTGAGAACATGTGGTATTTGGTTTTCTGGCTCTGTATTAGTTTGCTAAGGATAATAGCCACTTAACACCAGTCAGAATGGCTATTACTAAAAAGTCAAAAAATAACAGATGCTGGTGAGATTGTGGAGAAAAGGGGATGCTTATACACTGTTTGTGGGAGTGTAAATTAGTTCAGCCATTATGGAAGAAATTGTGGCAATTCCTCAAAGTCCTAAAGAAAAAAATACCATTCAACCAAGCAATCCCATTACTAGGTACATACCCAAAGCAATATAAATTATTTTATTATAAGACTCATGGATGTGTATATTCACTCCAGGACTATTCACAATAGCAAAGACATGTAATCAACCTAAATGCCCATCAATAATAGACTAGATAAAGAAAATATGGTACATATACACCATAGTAAACTATGTAGTCATAAAAAAAATTGAGATCATGTCATTGCGGGGAGATAAATGGAGCTAATATTATTTTTTAAGCTTGTCTTGCCCTAAATTCTCAGAGTTCATTAGGTTTTTTTAAAGAAAATATGACTGTATTTTTTTTTACCTTTCTAGTAATAACACGGAAGAGAAGAAGAGAGAGAAAGCTATACATAGTTTCTGATATATATGTAAAAGGATTGATTTTCTTTTGATCATTGAATTAGCTATATCCTATAAATGTTGCTGTTTTACATTTATACTCACCTAGTTCAAAATATTTTCTTATTTGTATTTTGGTAGTTTATCCTATAAAACATTTTGAAATATATGATTTAATTTCAATACTTTTGATATTTTTAGTTTTCTTATTTTATTCATTTCTAGTTTTAGTTTAATTTAGTAAGATGGCATAGTTGTTAATCTTTTGAAATTTATTAAAATTTGTTCTGTAGCACTACATGGTCTATTTAAGCATATTTTTTCCTGTGCATTTTAAAATAATTTCTGTTATTAAATTATTGCAGTGTTCTACAAAATGTAATTAGGATACATTTAAGAAATGTTGATAATGCAGTTAGTTGTAGCATACAGCACACATAGGGGAAAAATAGATTAACATTTGAATGTAAATGGGCTAAACACCCCACTAAAAAGACGTAGAGTGGCAAACTGGAACAAAAGGCAAGACCCAACCATCTGCTGGCATCAAGAGACCCATCTCACATTTAATGACATGCACAACCTCAAAGTAAAGGGATGAAGAAGTATGTGCCATGCAAAGAAAAAACAAAATAGAGGAATAAAGGCACCTTGTGTGAGTTGTAATATTATTATCTCTATTTTAAAACTAAAGCAACTGACACGTAATTAAATTCAAACTCTACAGGCCAGTACACATGAAAGAGCAAGTTGGACTCTCAGGCATAAGCTAAAGTTGCTATTCATAGGTACAATTTCTTCTTCCTTAGCAAAGCTTTAGGTCTGCTTTTATTTTTACCTTTTTATTTTATTTATAAAAGTTTTTTTATTATACTTTAAGTTCTGACATACATGTGCACAATGTACAGGTTTGTTACATAGGTATACACGTGCCATGATGGTTTGCTGCACCCATCAACCCTCGCCTAGGACCCCACCACCTGACACGCCCCAGTGCGTGATGTTCCCCTCCTTGTGTCCATGTGTTCTAATTGTTCAATGCTCACTTATGAGTGAGAACATGTGGTGTTTGGTTTTCTGTTCCTGTGTTAGTTTGCTGAGAATGATGGTTTCCAGTTTCTTTTTTTTTTTTTTTTTTTTTTTTTGAGACAGAGTCTCATCCTGTCACCCAGGCTGGAATGCAGTGGCACGATCTCGGTTCGCTGCAACTTCTGCCTCCCTGGTTCAAGTGATTCTCCTGCCTCAGCCTCCCAAGTAGCTGGGATTACAGGCGCGTGCCACTACGCCCAGCTAATTTTTGTATTTTTGGTAGAGACAGGGTTTCACTATGTTGGTCGGCTGGTCTCCAGCTCTTGACCTCTTGATCCACCCGCCTCAGCCTACCAAAGTGCTGGGATTACAGGCATGAGCCACCATGACCAGCCAGTTTCCAGTTTCATCCATGTGCCTGCAAAGGACATGAACTCATCTTTTTTTATGGCTGCATAGTATTCCATGGTGTATATGTGCCACATTTTCTTTATCCAGTCTATCATTGACAGGCATTTGGGTTGGTTCCAAGTCTTTGCTATTGTGAATAGTGCCACAATAAACATATGTGTGCATGTATGTTTATAGTACAATGATTTAAAATCCTTTGGGTATATACACAGTAACAGGATTGATGACTCAAATGGTATTTTCAGTTCTAGATCCTTGAGGAATCCCCACACTATCTTCCATAACGGTTGAAGTATTTACACTCCCAACAACAGTGTAAAAGCATTCCTATTTCTCCACATCCTCTCCAGTATCTGTTGTTTCCTCACTTTTTAATGATCACCATTCTAACTGGTGTGAGATGGTATCTCATTGTGGTTTTGATTTGCATTTCTCTAATGGCCAGTGATGATGAGCTTTTTTCATATGTTTGTTGGCCTCATAAATCATAAATGTCTTCTTTTGAGAAGTGTCTGTTCATATCCTTTGCACATTTTTTGTTGGGGTTGTTTTTTTTCTTGTAAATGTGTTTAAGTTCTTTGTAGCTTCTGGATATTAGCCGTTTGTCAGATGAATAGATTGCAAAAATTTTCTCCCATTCTGTAGGTTGCCTGTTCACTCTGATGATAGTTTCCTTTGCTGTGCAGAAGCTCTTTAGTTTAATTAGATCCCATTTGTCTATTTTGGCTTTTGTTCCTTTCAACTAATTGAAATAGGCCCAACCAGAGTGCCTGGGATAATCACCCTTAAAGCCAACCAAGTATAAACTTTAATTACATCAACAAAATGCTTTCACTTTTATACCTAGACTTACCTTTGATTGAATAAGCAGAGGCTATTGCCTAGCCAAACTGACTCATAAGGCAAACCATAGCACACATTGACGACAGTGATGGTGCCATCTGTAAGAAATAAGTACACATTAATTAGGAAATTTAAACAAGATTTTTGACTAGCATAACTAATCAGAATGCCAAGTCAGATATATAATCTTTAAGTTAAATAATCTTTAAGTAACTCTTCCACCTTAGAAATTATCCAAAATTAACCAACCTCCAGGTTAAGAATTTACTTCTCCAGAACTACCAAGTCTTGTTAAGACTTCCGACATCAAATATAAGTTGAAAGGTCCACAGGGTCATCGTACTTTGGGGCAGCAGGCTACAAACTTAGGTCCCACAGATTCTCTCAAGTTAGGTAATTTGATAGAATGACTCACAAAATTTAGAAATTGCTGTATTTATAAGCACAGTTTTATCATAGCAAAAGATACAAATTAGAACCAGCCAAAGAAGAGATGCCTAAGGAAAAATGTGGGAGGGTTTCAAATCTGCAACTTGTTATTCTTAGGGATACTTTACTCTCCTGGCATCAATGGGTGAAAATACTCAAGACTATTGTAAACCAGAGAAGCTTACTCATGCTTCTGGGTCCAGTTTTATTGTGGTTTCATATAGGCATGATTGATTGAACCATCACCCGCATAATTTAGTTCAACTTTAACCCCTTTATTCCTCCCTCAGAGGTCAGGCTGATATATAGCTCAAAATTCAATCCTCTAATTATGTGGTTGGTCTTTCTGTGTGCCCAGAAGCCACCAAAAGCGACTCAGCATAAACTATCAGGTGTGGTTTGAGGGTTCCACCACAAACAACAAAAACAGTCCTAGCATGTGAAAAATTTTAAGTGTTTAGTTGTTACTTCCCAGGAATCAGGGATGTAGGTTACACTTCTGTTTGAGCTCAGGCCAAATTCTTTATTACTCAGTAATAAATCTAGGTAGCCTGCAGAGTACTGCATAAAATAAACTAATTTTGATTCTTGGCTCTCCTTTTTGTTACTTAATATGCATAATATCACAAAGCAGAAGCTATTTTGTCATCTGTACTTTTGATTATTTTCTCCCTAAAATGCTTTCTTATCCTAATGAGAAACAATCCACATTTCTTTTAAAATTGTGGACTAGATTTTGAATATTTTCTTAACAAAAATCATACATTATATAATATAGATTTGTTAATGTTTGTTTTATCTCCACATTTGGCATGAAAATATTTTAAGGATATTGCATTAACCAAAATATGTTTTCTGTTTTAGTCATATGACCTTATAAGGGATGTATTTTTAAGTCTATTGAAAGACTTCATCTGATCTCTTTTGATTTATATCTAGGCATTTTTCATTCACCCTTTACAAATGAAAATAATCCTGCTAAGGATATATTCACATGTGTGTTTGTGTGCTTACACGTGTGTGTTGTTATGGACTGAATGTTTGTGATTTCTCTCCAATTTATATCTTGAAGTCCTATTACCCCAGTGTGACTGTATTTGGAGATGAGGCCTCTAAGGTAATTGAGATTTTTATGGAGGGCCCTGATATGATAGGATTAACTTCCTTATAAGCAGATAACTGAGTGCTTGCTTGCTCCCACTCTCTCGGCACACATAAATACATGCACACACTGAGGAAAGGTTGTGTGTGGACATAAGGAGAAGATGACCGCCTATAAGCCAGCAAGAGAAAACTTGGCCATGCTGGACCAGCCTGTGCTATTTTGTTATGACGGCTTGGGCAGCCTAATACATATTTTAGTGCCAAGAAGTAGGATGCTGCTAAAACAAACACCTGAAAATTTGAAAGTGTCTTTGGAACTGTACAATGGATAGAAGCTGGAGGAGTTTGGAAGTGCATGCCAGAAAAAAAAAAAAAAAAACCTAGATTGCTCTTGCTGTGAAAGGAGTGTTGGTAGAAATGCAGATGTTAAAGACTATTTTTATTAGGGCTGGGAAAGAAAACAAAGGAGCTTAAAGAAAGTTCTCCAACTTCTTATGTAATACATAAATAATTATTAACAGGTTTTTGGTAGAAATATGAATGTTTGTTAAAAATATTAACGGCAGAAACAGGATGTTGGTAGAAATAAAAGCCATTCTGGTGAGGCCTCAAATGTAAATAAGAAACAGATTATTGGAAAGTAGAAGAAAGGTGATCATTGTTATAAAGTTACAAAGAATGTGAATGAATTAAGTCTTCGTTTTGTTGTTTTGTTTGTGTGGTTGTTTGGAAGATGGCACTTGCCGGTGATAAAATTAAATCCTTAACTGAGGAGATTTTTAAGCAAAGTTTTGAAAGAGCTGCTTGGATCCTCCTGACTGTTTATAGTAATATGCAAGAGTAGAGAGATAAATTCAATTAAAAAATGTTAGGCAAAAAGGAACCAGAATATTCAGATTTAGAAAATTCTCAGCTTGCCCATATTGTAAAAATATGAGAGTGCGTTCTGAATAGAATGAGTGTGTGGCTGAACTATCACTCAATATAGAGATTATGGAATTATACAAATAGAAACACTGCAAGTTTAACCTGGGGGGACAGAGATCTGATAAAACGAAGGAAAGCTAAGAGGCTTCCTAGCTTCTACGAGACAGGACAATAGAGCTATGCTATTTGGCTGTGAATAAAAATAATACTGGCTATTATTCAAGTAAATAAATAACCATAAAGGCAATTCAGAGATCATCAGGGATACCTTATTGGTTTCAAAGGACAGAGTCATCACTTTAGTTTCAACAGGCCACATGGTCTCTACCAGAAGCCTTGGGTAAGTACTGCCCTGCAGATATGGGGATGTGGAGTCATTCATAGTCAACTGTGATGCCACTACTTGGCAGAGCCATGAGGACAAAATTTCCTCTGCCCACTCTAGTGGGTCTGGCAAGAGGGATCACCACCACAGTGGGCCCAAAGGCAGGACATCATATCAAATAAGATTATTTTTAAGACTTAAGGTCTAATGAATTTGCCTTGCTAGGTTTTGGACTAGCTTGGGAACAATAACCCCATTTTTCCTTCTAATTTATCCCCTTTGGAATGTAAATATCTATCCTATGCTTGTCTTGCCAGTGTATTTTGGAAGCGCATAACTTGTCTGGTTTCACAGGTTCACAGCTAGACACGAATTTTCTTCAAGATGAATCATAACTCAAGTCTTGCCTACATTTTTTTTAGATGATATTTAGATGAGATTTTGGACTTCAGACTTTTAGTTTATTTTGGAATGAATTCAGACTTTGGGGACTGTTGGGGTGAAAGGAATGTGTTTTGCATATGAAAAAGACACAAATTTGGGTAGAGGAGTCAGGAGCAAAATGTTATGAATTGAATGTTTTTCTCCCCCCTGCAGCAAATACAAATGCTGAAGTGCTGGCCCCCAGTATGGGCTGTGTTTGCAGGTGATGGCTCCATAAAAATAATTAAGGTTAAATTGGATAATAAAGGTGAGTCCCTGATCTGAAATGATCAGTAACCTTATAAGAAGAGACAACAGAGAGCTTGTACTCTCTGACTCTGCATGCAAGCACCAAGGAAGACCATGTGAGGTCATAGCAAGAAGACTTCTGTCTACAACCTAGAAAGAGAACCCTCACCAGAACTCACCAAAAGTCAACCATGCTGGCATCCCGACCTTGGAATCGCAACCTCCAGAGCTGAAAGGAAATAAAGGTTTGTTGTTTAAGCTCTCCAATCTTCTGTGGCATTCTGTTATGGCAACCCAAGGAGACTTTTATATACACAAACACACATGTGTATATAATTACATATATAAATAATATATATACATAATTATATGCATATATATTATTATACAAAAATAATATGCATTATGTATATATAATTCCCTATTCTTGTACATTTCACATTCACTTTATTTGTGATACTGAGTTCTAAATATTTCTGTGCTGCCACTGGACTAAGAGTTGAGTCAACCAAAAATCTTATACACAAAAGAGATTGATAAACATGTTAATTAATGAAATTTTATCTTCAAGGATTGCAATATCTAGATGTATTTTCTTGAAACATTAGCTAATGGAATAGCAAGAGAGTCAGATGAGAAAAAATATAATAATTTTTACTCCTAAAAATGATAAAGATGACTGACTAGTAGTAATAAAATTAATATCAGTACCAGTTTAAAATCTATTTAATTAAAAATAATTTGTTGCAGTGAACATATTTCTGAAAGTCAATAAATGAATGTCATATTTTTAAGTAAGCAAATAATTAAATACTCTCAGTGAAAATCTTCTGAAAGACCAAAATCAACCACATTTTTACAAAATAGCAATATGTCACAGCTAGCATGTTTCTCCCTTTGAAATGTCACTGTCTTATTCAATTTTCTGTTGCTTATAACAGTATACCTGTGATATGGTTTAGCTGTGTCTCCACCCAAAACTCATCTTGAATTTTAACTCCCATGTGTAGTGGAAGGGACCCAGTAGAAGATAATTGAATCATGCGGACAGGTTTTTACCATGTTGTCCTTGTGATAGTGAATAAGTCTCATGAGATCTGATGGTTTTACAAATGACAGTTCCCCTGCATATGGTCTCTAGCTTGCTGCCGTGTAAGATGTGCCTTTGCTCCTTCTTGGCTTTCCACCATGAATGTGAGGACTCCTGAGCCATGTGGAACTGTGAGTCCATTAAACATATTTTTCTTAAGAAGTTACCCAGTCTTGGGTATTTCTTCATAGCAGTAGGAGAAGGGACTAATATAGAAAATTAGTACTGGTAGAGTGGGGTACTGCTATTAAGATACCCTAAAATGTGGAAGCTAGTTTGGAACTGGGTAACAGGCAGAGGCTGGAGGAGTTTGGAGGGCTCAGAAGAAGACAGGAATATACGGGAAACTTTGGAGCTTCCCAGTGATTTGTCAAATGGTTTTGACCACAAAGTACAGGCTGAGGTGGTCTTTTATTGGGAACTGGAGCAAAGGTGATTCTTGCTATGCTTTAGCAAAGGAACTGGCAGCATTTTGCCCCTGCCCTAGCCATCTGTGGAACTTTAATTTGAGAGAGATGATTTAGGGTATCTGGAAGAAATTTCTAAGCAGCAAAGTGTTCAAGAGGTGACTTGTGTGCTCTTAAAAGCATTCAGTTTTATTTATTCACAAAGATATGGTTTGGAATAGGAACTTATGTTTAAAAGTGAAGCAGAGCATAAAAGTTTGGAAAATGTGCAGCCCAATGATGTGATAGAAGAGAAAATCATATTTTCTGAAGAGAAATTCAAACTGGCTGAAGAAATTTGTATAGGTAACAAGGAGCCAATTGTTAGTCACCGAGACAATGGGGAATATGTCTCCAGGACGTGTCTGATGTCCTTATACCAGAACCTCCAATCACAAGCCAGAGGGCCTAGGAGGGAAAAATGGTTTTGTTGGCTGGGCCCAGGGCCTTGCTGCTTTGTACAGTCACAGAAATTGGTGCCCTGCATCTCATCCATGGCTAGAAGGGGCCAACATACAGCTCAGGCCATAGCTTTAGAGGGTGCAAGCTCCAAGCCTTGGCAGTTTACACATAGCATTGTGCATACAGGTACACAGAAGTCAATAATTGAGGTGTGGGAACCTCTGCTTAGATTTCAGAGGATAAATGAAAATGCCTGAATGTCCAGGCAGAGGTATGCTACAGGGGCAGAGTCCTCATGGAGAACCTCTGCTAGGGCAGTGAGGAAGGGACATGTGGGGTGAGAGACCCCAAACAGAGTGCCTACTGGGCCTGTGTGCCTAGTGGAGCTGTGAGAAGAGGGCCACTGTCCTCCAGACACCAGAATTGTAGATCCACCAAAAGCTTGCACAGTGTGTCTGGAAAAGTTGCAGACATTCAATGCCAGCCTGTGAAAATAGCCAAGAGGGGGACTGTGCCCTGAAGAGTCACAGGGGTGGAGCTTCCCTAGACCATGGGAACTCATCTCTTGCATGAGCGTGACTGGGACCTGAGACAGAATCAAGGGAGATCATGTTGGAGCTTTGAGATTTGATTGCCTCACTGGATTTCGAACTTGCATGGGGCCTGTAGCCCCTTCACTTTGGGCAATTTTTCCTATTTGGAATGGGTGTACTTAGCTGATGCCTGTACCCCCATTGTATCTAGGAAGTAAGTAACTTGCTTTTGATTTTACATGCTCATAGGTGGAATGGACTTGTATTGTCTCAGATGTCACTTTGGACTGTGTAATTTTGAGTTAATGCTGAAATGAGTTAAGAGTTGGGGGACTATCAAGAATGCATGATTGGTTTTGAAATGTAAGGACATGAGATTTGGGAGTGGCTGAGGGCAGAATGATATGGTTTAGCTGTGTCCCCACCCAAATCTCATCTTGAATTGTAACTCCCATAATTCCCACATGTCATAGGAGGGACTCAGTAGGAGGTAATTGAATCATAGGGCAGGATTTCCCATGATGTTTTGTGTTATTGAACAAATTTCCCAAGATCTGATGGTTTTATAAAGGGCAGTTCCCCTGCACACACTTTCTTGCTTGCCACCATGTAAGACATGCCTTTGCTCTTCCTTTGCCTTCTACCATGATTGTGAGGCCTCCCCAGCCATGTTGAACTGTGAGTCCATTAAACTTTTTCCTTATAAATTTCCCAGACTTGGGTATTTCTTCATAGCAGTATGAAAATGGACTAATACAAGCTGAAACTGGGTAAGTTATTTACAAAATGAATTTATTTGTTTATGGAGGCTGTGAATTCCAAGGTCTAGGTAGCATATTTACTGAGAGGTGTTTTGCTGGTGGGGACTTTCTGCAGAGTACTGGGGTGGCACATATCATCACATTATGAGGGGTGCTGAACATGCTAGCTCACTTCTCTCTTCCCTTTTTAATAAAGCCACAAGTCATACTCCAGTGATAACCCATTAATCCATTAATCCAGTTATGTATTAATCCTTAAGTGTGTAAAACCATTTATAAGGGTAGAGCCATCATGACCCAGTCTCTTAATGGTCCCTCATCTCAATACTGCCATGTTGGGGATTAAGTTACAATGTGAGTTTTGGAGGAGACACATATTCAAACCATAGCAGTCACGAATCTCTGAATACCACGCTTTCCAAAGTCTTCTATTAAAATCGCAGTTAGGATTGTAAAACTCTAAAGATTCATCAAGTTCTTTATTGCCCTCTTAAGCTGAAATGGACTGACATCAGAGAATAATAATGTGAGTAATATTAAAAATAAACTGTTCAAAATTTATTCAGAAACTGTGCTGAAGTGGCCAGAGGCATTGCCAACAGCTTTTATGAACATGAGATCTATAAATAGCAGATGATAGAATTTAACCTATATATTATTATTATTAGATCTGTCATGAGATTTTCAATTACTGCTCCCAAAACAACATCCATGCAGAACACTAAGGATGATCTATTACATTGGAGTCTGGTGAAACTTAATACAAACATTCCATTCTCAAGTGAAAGGCTCACTGCATACTTCCATGTTCAATGCTGATGGCAGGACTCACATTCATGAGGAGCTGCAGAGAAAATATTTTTTGGGGGTTTTACATAATTAGGGTTATTGAAACAAATATTGTTAAACCTTAGAATAGGGGCTAATATACAGGCCTGTAAGTTAAATTATGTCTTTATTGATTATAAGAACTCCAGGGAGATTATTTCTCCAGAAGTATATACTTACATTCCAAAGAAGAATGAGACCTCATAGAATGCAGCTATGCCTACACTGTAAAGCTAAAGACCCTGGTTTTTAATATTCTTCCAAAGAAATTTATTTTATTCAGAAGGGTAAGAACTCAAGATCTTTCCTTCCTGTATTTCCAAGGAATATGCGGCCATACTATAGAACAAAAGTTTTTCTTAGTCTCTCAGCAGACAAGGGAAGACAGCTGTCCTGCTTCTATATAACAAACCAACCAAAATTACATTTCAATGTTCCTTGCCTACGGTAGATCTCCTTACGTATATGATGACATCTTGTTCTCACCACGTCACTTCAGGGCTAAGAACTGGAGCAAAGGGGAAGTAATATTTGCTGTAAATAAGTAATTTTTGTTGTAAATGAATTATAATTTGCTCTATTCCAGAAAAATGTCTGCATTCACAATAACATCATAGTTATGTATATTTAAATCTTAACAATCCAAGTTCAAATTAACTATAGCCATGTGTCCCTTAACAATGGGCATATGTTCTGAGAAATGCATCCTTGAGCAATTTGTCATTGTGCAGACTTTATAGAGTGTGCTTACACAAATCTAGATGGTTTAGCCCATTGGTCCCCAACCCTTTTGGCACCAAGGACCAGTTTACCACTTTTGTGGAAGACAAATTTTCTACATCAGTCAGAGGCTGGGGGGATGTGATGGGTGGTGGGGTTGGAATGATTTAGTCAGGCATTAGTTAGATTCTCATAAGGAGCATACACCCTGGATCCATTGCATGCGCGCTTCACAATAGGGTTCGAAGTTCTAGGAGGAGATAATGCCAGGCTGATCTGACAGAAGGCAGAACTCAGGCAGTAATGTTCACTCACCCACCACTCACCTCCTGATGTGTGGCATGTTTCCTGACAGGCCATGAACCAGTACTTGTCCCCAGCCTGGGAGTGGGGACCCATGGTGTAGTCTACTACACACTGTATAATAGGCTATATAATATAGCCTATTGCTTCTCAGCTACAAACCTGTACAGAATATTACTGTACTGAGTACTGTAGACAATGTTAAATAATGGTAAATATTTGGGTATCAAAACAGAAATGTAAAATACAGTAAAAATGCAGTATTATAATATTAAGGGACCATAAGGGTCTGTCATTGACTAAAACATTGTTAAACATAAACATATCTAAATACCTTCTAGAAGGGACCACCCATACTTCTGTGACTAATAATATTACTATTATGTAACAAAATCTTTTTTGGTTCCAAATCTCCAACTCACATATCTTCTTTTGTTTTAGCATTCACTTAATAACTTATTGCTGAGATTTGTTTTTCTCTGAACCACAGATGTCAGCAATCCTTTTCCCACTTGAGTTCCTGACCTGTGACGACAGGTCCTGGAAGGTCTTAATTGTGTTCTGAGACTGCTTGGACATGTGAAAAGTAAAATATTACTGATGCACCAGGGTGTGTCTCAGTGAGTTTTATTCTGAAACCATCAGATTTTGAACCAAACAGCATTAAAGTTTCTGTTTTTTGATAAGAAAAATTTTGAGTTAACCTATTTCTTTTGAAATGTTTTAAATTCCCTTCTTCAAAATGCACTTACAATACTTAAGCTTTTTATGTTTTTAGTCTTGGGTACTTTTAAACAGGATGAAGTTCCTTAGAAGCTTATGTTTGTTTTTACTACAAATTGACAGAACTGTTTCACTGCAGAATAAAGTTATAATGGAGGTTAAGCAGGAACACTGTTTCTTTGTCTTCATTAAATTTAAAGATAGAGCTAGTACAATAACCATAAAACTGTGCCAGCAAACAGACACAATTATTAATTCTGTACTATCCCAAACGAATGTTCAGATGTTCTCATTTATTTTCAAACATAAGATGAAAAATATTCAGTACTGAAAACTGAGTAAGACAAATCCACTTTGAAAATGTAGATAGACCTGTGAATAATTATTTTCTATGCTCTTTTCAGTAGCAACACACAGATATTAAACAGTGCATTCCTTTGACTTTATTAGTAATACGAAAATGACTAAATAATTCCAGAGGTTAGGTTTGCTTTCACATACCACACATCATTATCATTTCAGGTTTAAGGTCACAGTATGTGAAACCCTTTTTAAATATTATCTGATATGGTGTTAGCCTAACCTTGTGTAATTGACATTTTCCTATTTCACCCCAGTGGGAAATGATGTTTTCTGCCTTTAGGCATGGATGTACCTGGAATTAATGTGCTTTGTCAATGATGGAACTGTATTGTTGGTGATCAGTGTTTGTAAACAGAGGCATTATTAAGAATGCAACCTTTGCAAAATGTAATGTCATCCATATATCTGGGTGAAGAAGGGCAGTACAAAAATACAGGGAATAAGAAATGGTACTGCTTATAAAATATAACAAATATTTTCATCTTAAAGAAGGTAGTAATTACTTCTATTGGACTAAACTACTCACTACATAATTAAGACTATAGAAAGGAAAAAAATATGTTTGTATTAAGATAATGTGTTGTTAAAAGGCAAAAGGTAATTGTAGAAGCAAAAAGTATATGTCCCAAATTTATTTCTTCAAAAAGATAAAAACTTTTCTGAGTGCTGTTTTGTTGCTAATTTTAAGAAAATTTTCCCTGCTAGACTATAATCAATAACATTCCAGTGCTCAGAGTCTATGATTCTATTCCATTTATTAACAATACGTAGTAAAAACAAACTCAGAAAAACAGAAGAACAATCTGCCTTATGTTACTGCTACAGAAAATGTTTGTAATGCCCATGATTATTATACTTGTTCAGATAAAATGGCAAATTCCAATTTCATAAATATGTTAGTCTTATTCTTTTTTCAGTGTCAATATATATATAATTAGTTGACACTTTTTTATTGTTATGAGTATCATATTTTTCTCCAAGGCTTGCATTTTTATCTTATTAATAATATCTTTCAATAAGAAGTCTAATGTGTTCATTCTTTCTTTCTGTTCATTCTTTTTATATCTCTTTAAAGGAGCATATTTTCAAGCCTGCAAAGATTTTCTCTTTGATATATTTGAGTTCTAGCACTTACATGTAGATATTTTATAAATTTGTCATTAATTTGTAGGTATGGCATGTGTTAAAGATCAATATGTGTATTGGTTGATTAAAATTTTTAGTTGTTTCAGCATCATTTGTTGAAAGCACTTTTATTCCCCAACTGAATTACTGTGGTAACTTTGTCAGAGTCGATTGATCATATATGTCTGGGTCTGTTTTGGACTCTTTCATTGATTTGTATGTTTGTCCTTAGCTTTAAAGTTATTACTGAAATCAGGGAGTGAAATCTACCATGTTTTCTTTCTTTATGAATATTTGTTCTTTATGAATTTTCATAAACATTTTTGAATCAATTATCAATTTCCAAAGAAGTCTGGTAGAATTTGATTGGGAATATGTTGAATCAACATATTAACTGTAAAATTTGATATCTTAATCATGTTTTGTCTTCTATTCCTCGAAATTTGTGTATCTCTGTTTAGGTCTTCAGACTGATCTTATGGAATTTCAATCTGAAATACTCTGTATTTTTTAGTATTCAGTGTTTAGTACTTAGTATTCAACATATTTTGTTAAATTTGTTCTTAAATGCCTTTTACTTTTATGTTCCAAACAACTATTGCTTGTATATAGAAATTCAATCAATTATGCTAAATTTACCTTGCGGTCATGCTAACTTAAAATATTACTTCACAGACTTTTCTTAAATTTTTTTCTACTTACATAATCATATGACCTGTGATTCAAAACAAGTTTCCTTTCCTTTCTCCGTTGTATACACTATATTTGTTTTTCACGTCTTACAGCACTGGCAAGGAATTCCACAACATGTTGAATAGAAATGAACAGAGTGAAAATTTATCCCTTAATCACTATCGTAGAGAAAATGTTTTACTCCATTTGCAGAATCCATGAACAAATATTTAAGTCATTCTCCCTTAAGTATGATATAAGGTGTAGATTCCATTTACTAGGATGAAGAATATTTTTTTTTCTAATAGTATTGTGCTTTTTGTGTTATAGCTGAAAACTTTTAGTTTACTCCAAGATTTTCTCCTATGTATTTTTTCAAAAGCTTTATAATCTAACTTTTGCACTTTGGCCTACAATTTATTTTGCATTAATTTTCATGCATTGTATGAGGTTTTTAAATAATATTTTCATATGGCTATATAAAATTATATATAAATAATAGTTGGCTATGTAATTATTCAATGTATTTGTTTAAAAGACTACCTTTTCTCCATTGACTTGTTTTGGCAACTTTTTTCAATATCAATTTCCTATATCATAATCATATATTTCTGAATGCTTAGTTCTGTTCCACATATCTGTATGTCTGTCTTTATGCATGTATCATACAGTCTCGGTTTCTGTAGGCTTGCAGTAAATTTGGTATTCAGGAAGTGTACATTCTCCAACTTTTTTATAATAATATTGGATATTCTTGGTCCTTTCAGTTTCATATAAATTTTACATTTATTTTCTCAAATTTTGAAACAAACTTTGCTGGCATTTTTATAGATATTTTATTTGGCAAACATATCAATTTGAAAATAATTGCCATCTTAATAATATTTAGTTTCCTAATCCATGAGCAAGGAATATCTCTCTATTTACAAATTGAATTTATTTCAGAAATATTTTATAGTTTTAAGTGTAAAAGTCTTGTACATTCTTTGTTAAATTTCTTCTTTTCTTTCTTTTTCTTTTTCTTTTTTTTTTTTTTTTTTTCCAGAGGTAATCTATCTCTGTTGCCCAGGCTGGAGTGCAGTGGTGCGATCTTGGCTCACTTTCATTGTATGAAAGACATTGGTAAAATCCATTGGTCGATCATTTGTACTTTGTCTTTTTCCTAGAGGTTATTATAGTTACTTATATGTCAATTTTAAAATTCTTATTTTGATATTTGTTTTATGATTTGTTAAAACAGATTAATAATGTTCTTTACATTAGTACTAATTTAGATATAAATCCTAAGTTTGACCGTTATGCCATCTACGCTGAATACCTTCATTGTTCAATATGGATTCATCCATCTGACTGATTGAAGCTTAAGAGGCTCTGACATCTGTGAGCTCTGGATATTTTTTACTTTACAGCAGCACAGTCATTACATTCCTGGCACTTGGAGTGTCACACAGGGCCTACATGACTTATCAAAGAAATTCATATTCTGATGCCCATTTGATTTTTTTCAAGCCTCATTCTGGTACTCTGCTCATAATTTCTAGCCTCTTTTCCCTTTCTGAATTCCTTTCACCATCTCACGTGAGGGAGATTGATGTGTTCTGCTTTTGATGATCCTGCAAAGTGGCCTAGAAAATGCTTTCGGGCAGAAAGTCAGGTCAATTATACTGTGTCTTATCTTGGTTTTTCTTCTATTAATTACAAAAACCCTGTCTACTTTGTTGTCAAATACCAAAAATTCTATGTCTCAAATATTTTGTCTTGTTTTTTAATTGTTTACAGTTGAAGGGCCTATTTATAATAATTGAAAGCAACTATCTATGTCTTTGTTCATTCATATATGAATCTCAATAATATTTGTAACTTGTACACATTTAAAAAGCTAACCCATTAATGATGTATTTTCTGAGTTAATTTGCAATGTATTGTTCTTCTTATTTGTAGATGTATTCTTTTACATTTAGCAATGTAAAACTGCATGGATATTTTACTTTGCAAATATGTTCTATAATTTTAGGTACTCCTCAGTTAATAAGTTTGATAGTAATGCCTATTTCTTTTCAGTTTTATGATGATTTTTGTACTTTATGTCCTTTACATTACTTGGCATAAGGGGATTTTATATATATATATATATATATATATATATATATAATGTATATATTTATATTTTTTCCTTTATTTCAAATGGTCTAGAATAACTTATTGCACAACTCTTTCTTTATTAATTTACTTCTTTATTAATTTAAACTATTTGTATTTATCTGATACTATATGTATTATTTATGTTACATATATTTGTTATATTTTTATTATATATTATTTGTTATATCTTTATTATATTATTTGTTATATCTTTGTGAATTTATTTCTTTGTTAATTTAAACTATTTGTATTTATCTGATACTATATGTGTTATTATATATGTTATTATATATCTGATACTATATGTGTTATTATATATGTTGTTATATATATTTATTATAACCTTATAACTCTAGTGTGTTTATTATTTAATTGGCTAGTAAATATTAATCAGTTTACTGAAATTCCCCTTACTAATTTAGACTCAACCTAAAATGGTGGGCAGGTAGACACTTTATATCACGTGTATAGTTAAGATTATTACAAGTATTAGTCTAATTCATACGATTTTAGTTATCCAACATGATATATTTCACATATTTTCTCTCTTACAGAATTGAATGATTGTAGATTTTCAAAGTAATTTGCAGCATATAGTTATTTTTGCTTTATTAAATATATTTCTTTAAACTTTACTGTCATAAGAATTTCTTTACATTTCAGAAATTCATGGGAATACTTTTTCTATTTTCCTGAATATTAATAATAATCTGTAAAATTTATTCAGGTCTAGATGTGTTATTCCCTATTTGCATTGTCCTTATTAAAGTGCCTTGAAAAATATAATTCTATCACAGATATTGATACTTAAAATATAATTTTTTGTTAAATTTGACTTTTATTTAAGGAATATATGAAATATTATCTTTGATACAAATGAACATACTCAAGTTGTATTCAAATACTGTATAAAATCTTTCTTCATTATTTTCTAATCATTATGACCAAAGAGCATGAATAAAATCTTCAAAAAATTGTAAATAAATGGAAGCTTTGGGGAGTTGAAAGTAAGTACACACATACACATATGATTATGAATTTGTTTTGCTACATATCTCTAGGAGATTTAGGGAACTATCATAAACCTATTTTTAATCTAAAAATAGACTTTTCAATCTAAAGAAACTTATTGGGTATTATTTAAAATCAACATAACAATGACTAATAATAATTCAATGGGAACAAAATAGTATGCTGATGTTACATTGAAGTTTTCTAAAAATAGATTACTTGGAGAGCCCTATAAAGAATAATGCACTAATAATGTTGTCGTAGCTATAGAACAGAAATCATCCTGTAAAATTTTCAAAAGCCTTGTAATAAATTTTGCATCATAATAAAACTATATAATATTGAAGATTCAAAAGTTATTTTCATAATACATTTTGGCAAAGCATTGACCTCTTCTGTACTAGAAATTGGGTCAGAGAGAAAATCAGAAATGATAAACAGAAACAGGGTGAAGGGGCTACAGAACCCTGCTGTTTGATTAATATCACATATAGAATGGGAATCAGTTTTAGCTCAATGTATATAGAGGCTCATCCAGGAGTACAGCAGGGTTCTGAAAGATTGGTGTAGACTCCTGTTGAGTTTATAATCTGTAAATGTTAAATGTTCAAGGCATGCTGTCTGGCTGTTTTAACCGAAGTCAGACTGCCACTGGAGTTTAGTTCATTACACATCATTTAAGTTCAATAAACATTTATTGAATGCATTATGTTACAAATAGTATGCTAATCAAAATATATAAAATTATTGTCATAATAATTGTGGCCCTTTGGAGGTTTGAGTCTTCTTGTTATTATTCCTTGAAACATAGTATAATTTATTAAGGATGAGACTATTATCAATGCCCCTTTTTGCTGCTGTATTCATTTTTATGCCATGACAACTCCCAATCAGTGTAAGGAACGCAGGTACAAGTATACTGTGAGATCTGTTTATTGTGTTAAAAGTATTTAAATGTGTAAAGTTAACATACTTACCTGTTCAATATGTTCATGCTTTTAAAAGTGTATAGCAACCACTGCATTCAAAACTACGTATTTTAAATGTGACTTTTCTTCTTCCCCTACTTTTTGGAGACTTAATTTATTTTTATTGTAATAGGTAAAAAAGTGAATCCTTTTATCAGGAATCAACTCACTATAATTATTCATTGTTATAGAAAAGAAATATAGTCACTATTAAAGGTGTAGTTTACTAAGGGAAATAATAGTTCATTTATTTGGAGGCTTAAATCTGCTATAAGGAATCTTCATGCGAGATAAATCATACTTAGATGAATTCTTGCTGCTCCTAGAATAAGCATAAGAGCTGTTATATATAAGATGTATACATTTAATGACCTTGGGTAAAGATAATACATTTCCACTAGGATGAAATGTAAGTCCTTTGGCTAGGGCTACCAAAAAAAAAAAAAAAACAAAAACTGCTTTTGATGGGCTTTCCTTAGATCTGTTTTTCATCTTTATTCATATTATTTTTGTGGTTAATCCTTTTTAAAAATGAACATGTTTTACTTGATATGTATTTAACTTTGTAAGTGTGCTAATAACCAAATCTTGCCATGGTTTGCCTTATTTATATGTATATCTCTAGGTTTTTATCAAACCTTATGCTACCTGAAGGCAGAAGTCACATCTTAGACACCATTTTAGCAACTCTTTAAATATAAATTTTCTTCCATGATAAAATAACAGGAGACAAACTTACCCTCCTTTTATTAAGCAAATAGAAACATGAACGGTATATATGACAGAATAATTTTCAATCTAGAGATCAGATAGCTCAAGACAGTGATTCTGAGTAAAATAAAACAACGGATGACTCTTATAAGTGTCCCAGTTCATTGCCTCGAGTAAGATTCCAGGCTGAAGAATAGGAAAGAGAACCCAGACAAGGAGACAGAGTCCATATATTGGTGAATCCAAAACAGTATTTGTGGGACAAATATCAGAAATGAAGAAGCTGCATAATGATGAAGCTTAAAGAAACTGCAGACACAGCCACTGAAGTGTTTGGCCGAGAACTGCTGTGTGTGAGTGTGTGTGCGTGTGCATGTGGTGTGTGTGTGTGTGTGTGTGTGTGAGAGAGAGAGAGAGAGAAGGGAAAGAATAAGCTACCCAATACCAGAAAAGGACCACCTATAAGTTATGGGTAGAACAATCAATCACCACATTTAAAACATGGTTGGAAATGATGTCCCAACCAGCAAGACCCCTTGTGACATAGGATGATCAGTCTGATGTGGATGGATATGTCCTCATTATTGGGAATAAGATGCTTTTGAATCAAGGCTGTTCTGAACCCACTGCGTCAAAACCTCGGGAAGGATTATAGCAATTCTGTACCTTCATTCCAGAAAAAAGTTCAATGCTATTTAGAAGAATAAAACCAAATCTAGAACATAAGAAGGAAAAATATATGAAGCACACCATCCAATTCGAAACAGGGTGTGAAAATAAAGAAAAACAACCCCTAATCAGAAAAAAGCAGTTAATTAAATAATACACCAATGATAAAAATCTGTAAATAAGAATATTCATAGTGGTATTATAAATATATGAAAAGCTATTCTATATGGGTATACGCTATATCAATATATATCAGTAGCCTGAAATCTCCCTGGAGAGCAAAATCCATGTTTGACTACCTACTCAGGTTTCCACCTGAATGTTTAATAGACATCATACATTTAATATGTCAAAATTCAATTTATGGTTTCTCACCACCAATCCTGTTACTCCACTATTTTTGCTACAAGTCAGAAATCTATAATTATATTTTTCTCTACAAAACATTGGAGTCTGTGTTAACTACTGTCTGTTTCTTACACTCTTATTTTAATCCATCAAGAAATTGTCATGCTTAATTTCAAATTATATATAGAGTCTTTTTTAAACCATCTCTATTACTGCAGCCTAAACTACAAAAATTTATTGCAGAAACATTTTATTAAAGTATAAATGAGAACCAGTTACTGCACAAATCTTGTATTCAATTCAATTTTTACAGTGAAAACCCATCTGTATAACTACCACCAGGATAAAAAAAAAACATATGGAGGTTTTCTTTTTCCCCTTTTAGAATCACTGTTCCTTACTCCTTGAAGACATAGTATCACCATTGAAGAATTTTCCTTATAAATACACTTTATATAAATGAAATCATACAGAATGCACTTTTTTCCTACCTGAAACATTTTTTCAATAATATATTTATGATCATCATCCATGTTATTTTGTATAGTTTTATCATTATTATTTTCTATTTAGTAGTCTCTGCTTATCCATGGTTTCACTTTCCACAGTTTCAGTTACCCGTGTGTAGGTGGAAGTCCAAAAATATTAAATAAAATATTCCAGAAACAAACAACATTTAAGTTTTAAATTGCACACCATTCTGAGTGGCATGATGAAACCTTATGCCATCCCACCCAGGACGTGAATCATTTCTTTTTCCAGATTATTCAGGATGTATAAGCCACCTGCTGGTCTCTCACTTGTAATAAACTCAGTTATCAGGTGGACTTTTGTGGCATTGCTGGGCTTGTCTTCAGGTAGCCCTTATTTTACTTAATAATGGTCCCAAAGTGCAAGCCTAGTGATGCTGGTAAATTGTTATAATTGTTACATGTTATTGTTTTTGGTAATCTCTCATTGTACCTAATTTATGAATTAAGTTTATCATTGGTATGCATGTATAGGAAAAAATGTATAGTTTGTATATGGTTCAGCACTATCCCCAGTTTCAGGCATTCACTTGGGGTTTTGAAGGTAATTTCCTATGGATAAAGGGGGAATACTATATATATTTCAGTTGTCAAAGCATACTATAATATTTGTAATTATTTTATAGATTATATAAATTTGAGTTGTTTTAACTTTGACTATTTTGAATAATACTACTATGACTATTCTTCCATATACCTTATGGTGTAACAAATGTGTACTTTGTTGAAGATATAAGTAGGAGAGGAATTAATATGTCAGGAGAAATGCTTATGTTGTTGAACTTAACACATTTTGTCCAAAAGATTTTGAAAGTGGTGTGATATACAAATCCAGTGACTGCTTTTGAGAGCTGGTAACACTCCATATCTTTGTCTAAACTTGGTATTAACAATCTATGTATTATAGTCATGTTAGTGGATACGCACTTGTGTCATATTATGTTCTAGTTTGTATTTCTAAGCTGACTAAAAATATTAATACTATTTCATGTTTATTGACTCCTTGAATTGTGATTCTTCTGTTTGGGGCTTTTGTCCCCACTTTCATATTTGTCTGTTTCTTATTTGCTTACATTTTCTTATTGACTTCTAGGAGTTCTTATTTTTTTCAATAATGTTTTTGACAAAAGTGCTGCAAATATCTTCTCCATTATACTCTTTATTGGGAATTTTAGGTGAAGAGAATTATGAATTTGCTTTTCAAGAATAGTTTGCCTGAGTATAGAATTCTCATCTGACAGTGTGTCTTTAAAAATTTTGAATATGTTTCTAAATATTTGAATAGGTTATTCCATTACCTGTGGCTATGATAATTTCTTGTAAATAATTTACTAATTTTATGGATTATTTCCTGTAAATGACTTTTTTCTTTCTGCATCCAGGGTTACTCATTTTCTGTCTTGGGACAGTTTGACTATAATGTGTCTAGGTGTCGATGTTTTTTAGCTTATTGAATGTAGAGATCAGTTTTTCTCATCAGATTTAGGATGCTTTTAGACATTGTTTCTACAAATATTCTTTCTGTCTATCGCTCTCCTCCCCTTGTGGGACTCCATTTTGTGTATGTTGGCACTTACTGGTGTTCCATAATATCTGAATCTGTACATTTTTCTTCAATATTTTTCCTCTTTCTGTTCCTCATACCAGACGAACTCAGATAACCTATCTTCAAATTCATGTATCTGAAGCTCAAACCTGCAGTTTAGGCTCTCTAATATTTTTTGCTTTACCCTTACACTAAAAACACACTGTCGTAGTTATCATAGAATTGAGATGTACTTTGATATTTCCTATGCTAACTCATCAAACTTTTGTGTTATTTGTATTCAAGATTATATTTGCTGATCTTGACCATTCTCCTTACTCTATGTACATTTATATTTGTATATAAGTTTTTTGATTCTTCAAAAATATCCTCTGGGTATATTTGATAGAGATTGAGTTGACTGGGTATATTTGATAGAGATTGAGTTGACTGGGTATATTTGATAGAGATTGAGTTGACTGTCTAGGTGGCTTGGATTTAAGAACAATGCCGAATAGAAGCAATTTTGGCAATCATTATTGTCTCATTCCTATTGCCGAGAGAAAGATATCAGCGTTTCAGAGATAAATATGATGTTAACTACATATGGTCTGTAAATACCACCATATTAGGACTTTTTTTCTATTTCTCATTTGCCTAGTTATTTTGTATTATGACACATTTTGTATATTATCAAATATCCAGGAAAACACTAAGTGTTTTGTTTTATAGCAATATAAATAAAAATGCAACAAAATCAGTTTTTATCTGTCAAACAAAAACAGTTTTCTAAATTAGTTGGTCATTGACACCTTGCTTCAGCACATATGACTGTGACTGTAAATATCATCAAGTGAATGGCAGGCTCAAATTTTTTAAGGGAAGCCAATCAAAAGTAGACCCATTCCTGCGAACAACCTTCTGAAACTAGCCAACCAATGATAGTCTCATCGAACACAATTCTCCAGGCCTGAATATTAATTTTATTCTCCCACTGCACAACCAGCCCAAAACCACCATTTAAACAAAATACTCATATAAAATTAGAAGTCTATTTTAAACTACTGTGCTTAACAATGATAACTTTCCTTTTTTAAAAATAAATAAAATTTTATTCTAGTTGTTTCAAATCTTATACAATAATCTCTTCCTACCACGGTGTCTAGATAATTATAAGATTGTTTTTCTTTATTGATTGATTTTGAAATGTTTGTTTCCATTCCTTTATAATCACTGAAGCCAGAGATTTATACGTTGTTCCCTCATAACCTTGCTTCTACCCTTGCCAGCTTGCAGTCTATTTTTTACTTGGAAACCAGAGTATTGTTTATCCTTGCCTTGCTTTGCCTCACTTTGTATTTTTCTCTCTCAATAACTTACATCGAAGATAAACTGTGCTTACTACAATACAATGCAGATGAGGATTTCCACAATATCTAAAGACAATGACAAGTATACAATTATAACTCGAAGTTTATATACTGTTTAACACAAATAAAAATTCACGTTCAAAAACTTGAAACATGTAACCAGAAGTAACTTATTGTTTCAAAGAAAATTCTTCAGCCATTTCCAAAACTGAAAGAAACATTATAAAATATTGTTGTGAATCAACTTTATCACAGAAACAGAGACAATTATGGTATATCATCAGAGCTTCAAGAATTCAGTTTATTTTTTGCAAAATGACACGAAATGCTTAATTGTATTTATAAATCTGTATCTCATTTTCTGTGTTTGCTCATCTTTTATTTTACATTTTTATGAAAACTTCTTTAATATTAATTCCTGAGGCTACAAAGCAGTGCTTTAGGAGATATTCTTTTTCAAACATGCATTTTTGTTATACTGAAATATATCTTACTTCATTGACATGCATTTTTTGCAGCAAAGAAAATCCATATTTCCTTTGAATGTGTGTGCATCTCTAAAATTTGATATTTTTATCATGTTTTATTAGTTTATCAAATTTGGGGAAGAGGTATTTGGTTCTTGCAATTTATATTAGTATGCTCTTTTGGAGCATATGAAAAACAGCATGTAGAATGATTGTATCAACTCAACAAACAAAATTACCTTGTAGACCATGGCATTGTGTACAGGAAAACATCTAATATTTACCATGTGGACCAAAGTGAAGCTATAATTAACATGTCTATTATAACCAGATATTAAAGGACAACAGAGCCAAAGAAAAATAAATAATATTGTTACAAAGGACAATTGATAGTGTCTTTTGATTACAAATCATGAGATTCTGTGCTTTCTTAAAATGGACATGGGAAAAGTTGTTCCATTAGGACATTGATCAAATAAAAATGTGTTTGCTTTTACTAAAAAGAAAAGCAGAGGAACTGAACTCTAGTATAATTTGTCTGACTACAATGGGACAGTATGGCTTTTCAGAAAGACTTCTAAATTAGCTTGATTAATTTACACACAGTGCGTTTGAATTCTTCCTAGATTTGTGTGTTATCTGCATTTGTGCTTTTTATATGAAACTTCTCAAGTGAAATGAATAATATTTTCTCTTAGATTGTGAACTGCTTGAAATTTCCATTTAAATTTCTCTAAACTTGCTTTCATATCAATTACTTCTTTGGCAAACATTCCTTCCCACAGGGTGGTTGTGACCTAGAAGTAAGTCTAAAATCTCCTCTTCTCTGCTTCTCCATGATTACTTATCTGATAGCAGAATAGAGATTGTGTTTCCTATCATCCAAACGGGGTTGTTGTAACACAAAATTAATCTTTAAAATTACTCAGTGAGTGACTTGAGTCTGATAATTTTAAACACAACTCCCTCAGGTCTTGACCAGCAGAGAAGGGCTTAGTCTTTATGGATTCTGTCACTGAAGCCTGTACTATTATAAGTGGAAGCTCTGAAATATTGGTTACCTACCAACTATATGTTATTTAAGTCTTGTGTTTTTAAAACTGTAATCCATCAAATGTAAGATTTAATGGGAGTCTGTTAACCAATTTCAAATATCTCTAAGTATGTTACTTGGGTATATTACATCTATATCTC
Organism: Homo sapiens; assembly: GCF_000001405.40. NCBI lineage: Eukaryota > Metazoa > Chordata > Mammalia > Primates > Hominidae > Homo > Homo sapiens. The sequence continues at coordinate 83,044,448 of NC_000003.12, read as the reverse complement.
TAGATGATTATTAAATAAATTATAGTCTTATAGCAAAGTAATTTATATAATGTAGGTCAATAAGTAAAACAATGTAAAATCATGAATTTTCAATGTTGAGAGGATTATTAATAAAGCTGCTTAGCATATTGTGAAATTCACATTTTTTTAGAGTGGGGATCATGTGTATTCCATGCGACTGTGAATGTGAGAGAATAATATTCATTAGAGAGGATCTAGAAGGTACCAGAGCCATTCTCTTAGTCATCCTGGTCAATAAAACAAGTACTTAGCTGAAATAACTGGAGATTCACATCAGAAGTCACTAGCTATATTATAAAGTATTATATTTTAATAATTTTAATAAGTGTGTTTAATCTATATATTATATATTCTATATATTATTATGTTGTATGTTATGAGGATATTGAAATAATTTATTAATTCACAATGTCCTAAGTTAAATTGTATTTTTTCAAATAGAATTATGGATAAAGACCAGGACGACACAAACTGTAACTTGCTCTCATGTCAAGATTCTGATGCTCAAAGTTAGGAAAAATATGTTAAAAATGATGACAGCAAAAATGTATATAACACCATAGATTGTGAATTCTTCTAAGCATCTTATTAATGAAGTATGTACTACTGTTTTCATACCCATTTTAGAATAAATGAAACCACAGGTCATAAAAATCCATTGTCCAAAGTCACTGAGTTTAAAAATAGCAGACCTGGGATCGAATATAAGTATTCTGACACAGAATTTGTGATTATAACCATTACACAAGGTGAATGCCATGGCACTTTAGTAGGGAATATTTTTGTCTTGTGTATATAAAGTGGGCAGGGGGTAAGGAGTGTAAAAATCCTCTGAAAATTGATGAGAATCCTTAGATGTAAGAGATCACCTTTGGAAAATAATGTTTCCTACTGAACCATGGTCAGGTCTCTCATGGAAGAAAGGGAGCTCTGAACATGGTTAAGAATTATCTATGCATATTAAGAAAAAGAGTTCAGAGAACAGTAGAGTCTACTCCATAACTTTTATAAGAATAATAAGTAAATGTGAATACTATAACTAAAATCAGGTACTATACAAAGTACAGAGACATAGATATGAGTATCAAGTCTAGAAATTAATTAAGGCAACAGAATTATATATAATATACCAGCTAAAAATGCTCCTTCACATGTGTGCCTTAGACAAATACCATTATGTTTGAATATATCTCTGTTACTTTATTATAAGGAAACTCTCAGTATATTTGTTGTTGGCAAAAGTGTGTGCTTCTTAAAATATGAATGTAGGAAGCCAATATATGGAATAGTAAAAATTATCTCAAAAATTATAAGATGCGGTTATGATCAAATCAGATGAATTCTTGGTATAAAATTGTAGCTCACCTAAATCTGAAAAGTGACACTTCTTCAGTGTTAAAACAGTAGCACCCTCCCCAATATATGTTCACAATGACTCGATGTGTTCCAATAAATATACAAAGAATATGAGCTTAAATTGAATGATTATCAACTGAACAGATCACCAGAACAGATAATTTGATTGATTATCAACCTGAATATGTCAAAATAATTATTATTTTTATAACACTTAATAAGATAGTAATTCAATAGAGAACTAAGGCTTTTCAACTGATTGCTTTTCAACCAATCATCAGTTTAGGTATTACAAAAAGTTAAGGTTGAGATATATTTAATATTTTTAGATATATATATACCTCAGAATATCTCAAATATATATAAATGTATTATATATAAGTATATATTTATATATATTTTTTGGGACAGGGTCTTGCTCTGTCACCCAGGCTGGAGTACAGTTACATGATCTTGGCTCACTGCAACCTCCACCTCCTGGGTTCAAGTGATGAGACATGTGTTTTGACATTGACAACTCCATGTTGATTAAAATATTAACCTGCCTGTAATTAGTAAGACATATTAATAACAGTAGCTTTCTACAAAATAGCTTATAACATATTTTAACGAAAGACAAAAATTATTTTTATAAAACCACCTTTATTCATAGATTCAAATATTTCAAGAATATAAACCAGTTTGTCTTTTTGTTCTATGCAGTTTATTTCATATGTTTTTCCACTGTAAATAAAACATTTTATGCAAAATTATTTTGATAATATTTAATGAAATAAGCAAGCATAATATTTTCATAGTTTTTGTTCATGAAGGGTAGAGATGGAACAATAACATTTTGAATGAATAGTGTGTTGTGCTTTGAAAGCACATGTTACAAGACTTCTGAAATTCATTACCTAAATATTGTATAAGATAAATTAAAAAAAGATATTTAAGTCACTAAATTAGCTGGAATATTTTTAGCAAAATTTACCTAATAGTTATTTGTTTCATACTTTATTGTTTTAAGATAGCTCCTAATGATTTTGCAGTACTTTCATTTGTTGCTTTGAGGAGGGTTTGAAAAAATGTGATGCTGCATAGATTTTACGTGTTTTCTAAAGTTGGAAATACCCATTTATAAACATTGTGGAAGACAGCCAGCCAATGGCAGGTGTTATATCATCCTCACGGCTTAGCCCCTTTGATTTATTGCACACCCATGTACAGCTTCTCTCAGCGGTAAGTATATGTCATTTTCATAAAAGTTTCCTATATTATTAGGTTGAAAATTGTTTAAAGGAATAGCTCTTTTGCACATTTTAACATGCATTTGTGCCATGATTTACTTTTATATTCTATATACAACAGGCATTTAAAAAATAGCAGATTTACAAAAGCCTGTAATGATCTATGAATTAACTGGCCAGCAACAAGTCCCTGGATCTATCCATATTACAAAAGTACACTGTGGGCTTTCGATTTTATTGATATATCTTTTGAATGCTAATAGGTGGGGTTGACGGACATCAGCAAGAAGGAAGAAGAAATACTGTGGAGTGAAATTTGTTTGGGATCACCCAAGAGCATCAGCCATTCAGCTCACTGTAAGTGCTCACTGAAGCACAACATCTGACAATATGGGACAGTCACCCACTGCTGAGAATCAACAAAAGTAGCAATGTCAGAACTCACCAGTGCGGCTGGCAAATCTTTCAGATTGTCATACTCTTTTCCCCTCAGGGAGGGCCCTTAGAGATGGTACTTGTTGTCACTTGTAAAATTAGAATTTCTTTGTGGAGTTTCATTCTGATGCCATGCCTTTCCTCAGTGCAGGAAAATAAAAAGGAAGAAGAAAAAGCTAAGATGAAAGTAAATGATTTTTCAGAATAGATAGAAAAATTCTAAGAGAAATAATTAACAAATATTGTAAGACAATTGTATTGATCATAGAAAGACATGAGTGTTTATTGAAAATGCTCACTGAGTTTCAAGCTAGATTAATAAGAAAATACATGTGTAGGCATTTATATTAAATTTTTATGAACTCTAAGTATAATGAGTAAGTCATATAAACTTTTATGTAGAAAGTAGAGGCTACCAACCAAGTAAAAGATATCTGGGTTATGAGACTTCCATTTCACTACTGAAGGCTGGAATAAAGGGAAGTTTGTACATTCTGAGATAAAGTAACACCCTGAAACTCATAAGACTAGAAAATATATTTTTAACCTTTCACAGAGAAATAAAGACATCCACTGATGCAATAATTTAGATCTCATGTTAGTCAGCACTTGATCTGAGGCAGGTATTTGTAAAACAACTTAAGCAAACAGGCTTCAAAAGTGAACAGATGAAGAGGAAAGAATAGTGATAAATAAATCTTGATATATGTGCACCTACATATTTCTGTCTCTACTGCTGTGTGACAGTTATACATAGAGATGAGTAAAAAATATACTAGAAATGTATAAATAGAAAAATAGAAAAATATAGTAGAAACCACACATCTAACTGAGCAAAATTTAAAAGTTGAGGAGGAAAGGGTTTGGAAAACCTTCCAAGAACCTCGTTGAAGTAGCATTAAAGGAAGAAAACACAGAGGGGAAAGTGAGTGCTGTCTATTTTATTTTATTTTATGGACATAGTGTGTGGGAGCTTGAACAGTAGCTTGTGTGAAACAAGACATGTAAGAGGAAAAGAAGGATAGTTTCACCTTGCTTACAAATGGTAGTAGAATCATCTGTATCTGCACAAGAAGTCAGAGCCAATCATTCTACTCACAAGGA